>NC_000001.11:239517454-239668970 GCF_000001405.40 Homo sapiens
ACTTGCCATTCCTATGTTTTTCATTTAGACCATAAACACATTAGCAACATGAATTTATCATCAACGTAATATGGCTAATACAGTTGATCCGGAATTTAGTGAAGCATATATAATACATGAGGTTTTCAATTACCAGTCATTATTGATGGTAGCCAGGTCAAAAGTATCTTTCAGACATTCTAGAAGAGTCATGGAGTTACAAATTTTTAACATCTGAAATCTGAATCCTTTCCCCACACCCAGGCACTACTTTTATCTTTAGAAATGAGCATTTTTTGAAAGACTCATTTTAGGAAGCAAGATTTTGATTGCCTTTGTCTTATATATTCTACTTTAAAATTCAGTATGGTGAACCGGGAATAAATAATCAATGCCTGTGATGAGATAAAGACAGTTTCTTCCCAGCACTTTGAGAGGCTGAGGTGGGCAGATCATGAGGTCAGGAGTTTGAGACCAGCCTGGCAAATATGGTGAAACCCCGTGTCTACTAAAAATACAAAAATTAGCCGGACGTGGTGGCACGTGCCTGTAGTCCCAGCTACTCAGGAGGCTGAGGCAGAAGAATCGTTTGAACCTGGGAGGCGGAGGTTGCAGTGAGCCAAAATCACTCCACTTCACTCCAGCCTGGGCAACAGAGTGAGACTCCATCTGAAAAAACAACGACAACAACAACAACAACCACAAACCATTTCCACACGTTTTAATTTAATTGCTTTTTAAAGAGCACGAGGAAAGACTAAGTTACTCAAATACATTTTGTAGACTATCTGTAAGAAGCAAAAGTAATCAGCTCATTAAATATATGCAGGAGAATAGTAAATGTAATGGAAGCCTTTCACCTCTTCATAAGAGAATCAAATGAATGTGAGTTTGAACTGAAATCCAGCCTTCACTTAACCCCGCTGCCACCTCTCCTCAAATCATTCTCAACTTCACAGTTAAACTGTATGCATATTATAAGTAGGAGGCTCATTTATTGGTTTCAGTGTCTCTCAAACTAAAGTCCAAGGACATATCCCACAAGATGCTCTCAGTGGGGGATGGAGAAAACAAATATGACCAAAGGTAGACAATTTGTCAACCTGGGTTAAGACCCCTTCAATTTTTCTATAGGCTTGAAATTTTTCACACTCCACAGTTTGGGAGAAAAAAGCCAGAAGCTATTGCCAATATCCTGATAGAAATTAACCTAGTACTATAATTAAGACAATTTCAGGTCATGATAGGAAAATCTATACATCAGTATTTATTAAGGGAAAGTTTGTGGGCGGTAGTTGCACGTGAAATCTCCTTGTCTGAAAGACAGAGGCATGGTGGCCAGGCTACCAAGGCATCAGCAGTCTGCCCAATCCCATCCCTTCTCCTCCTGAATTTAGCCCAGTCTATATTTAATACAAAGACTTAGTCCACAGACTAGTGAACTAATGTATTTGCATTGTACAAATTTACCTTCGAAAAGTTTTATACATATATTTTTGTGTAAGTTGGCATTTTTATTTAAATTTTGCAAATCATTTGTTGACAGGATCAAAGGGAAAATAGCATTTCACTTCCTCTTTCCAGACACCTATTTACAAAGTAAAAGTCTCTATTTTTTTCAGCTTTACCTTTCTGACTTTTTGGATTACTGCTATCTAATAATTTATAGTAAAATTGGTGTATTTTTATTCCTCTGTACTCAGGATTAGCTACTGAAATTGACATCTGTTTACATAAATTTAGTTTAAGGGTATAATTTGGAGATAATTTGAATGTAATTCCTTCAATGTAAATAATATAAAAATGTAGCATGTTATGTACAATCTTCTAGATAAATAAAAATTTATACAGATGCTCCTCTAGGAAACTAAACTAAAATTCTAAATTTAAACTAAAATTCTAAGATTACATATTGTAGTTGAAATCAAGCATCCTTTATGAGACGTACCAAATATAGCCTCTTCTGTATGTTTGAAGACATACCAAGATTAACTTGCAAAATTTGTTGTAATTTCTTATTTGATAATAGAAATCTGGTTTTCTATGATTGACACATCAATTGTTAGTGATTCATAAGCTAATCAGTTCTTTAACTGGGTTAAGGCAGGCACAAGTATTCTCTTTTTTATCATCAAAAGAAGATCTATCTTGAAATGAATTGTTAGTAGACATATTTTTAACACAGAGAATATTCAATATTAATCAAATTTATTTTTGACTTCTCAAATATTTTATCCATAAGAGAATTATTCTGTTTCCTTGCCATTACAACTTACCTTGCCATTTTCACGTGGTTAAAAACTAGTTCTTTTTTTTTTTTTTTTTTTTTTTTGAGACAGAGTCTCGCTCAGTCACCCAGGCTAGAGTGCAGTGGCACGATCTTGGCTCACTGCAAGCTCCGCCTCCCGGGTTCACGCCATTCTCCTGCCTCAGCCTCCCTAGTAGCTGGGACCACAGGCACCCGCCACCACACCCCGCTAATTTTTTGTATTTTTAGTAGAGACGGGGTTTCCCCGTGTTAGCCCGGATGGTCTCGATCTCCTGACCTCGTGATCTGCTCGCCTCGGCCTCCCAAAGCGTAAACAACTAGTTCTTACTCTTTCACTTTTCTGTCTCCTAAGGCTCGAAATGTATTGTCTCATATACCAAATACCAAATGTTTAACTCAAAATGTACTCAGTCATTGCTGAGGAAGAATTATTTTGTTTAACCCTCATAATATATTAGTATTCTTATACCCAAGAAATACATACAGACATTTAAGTTGAAATCAGGAGTATGTGGGGATGAGAATGGTTGATGTCATAAGTACTCCAGTATTTAACAGTGATATAGTTTGAATATGTGTCCTCACCTAAATCTCGTGTTGAATTGCAATCCTCAAAGTTGGAGGTGGGGCCTGGTGGGAGATGATCGGATCGTGGGGGCGGATTTCTCATGAATCGTTTGGCACCATCTCCTTGGTGCTGTCCTGGTGATAGTGAGTTCTTATGAGACCTGGCTGTTGAACGGTGTGGCACCCCGCTTGCTCTCTCTTGCTCCCAATCCCTCCATTTGAGACACCTTCTCTCTGGCTTCACCCTCCACCATGACTGAGTGCTTCATGAGGCCTCCCCTGAAGCAGACGTCTGTGTTATGCTTCTTGTACATCCTGCAAAACCATGAGCCAATTAAACCTCTTTTCTTTGTAAATTTCCAGTCTCAGGTAGTTCTTTATTGCAATGCAGGAACAGCCCAATACAAACAGGTATAGCAGGTGTGTCATAATTTAAGTCAAACCAGTGACTAAAATAGCATTCTAACCAGACCCTTCCAGCTCTTACAGCAGTAAGCTCCCTTAGGAAGATTTGATATTGACCCTGTTTTAGGGAAGCTTTGATGTATTTGCTGAGGCATTTGTTGACTTTCAAAAGCAACTTCAATTTAAGGCATTTTGTACATACATAACATACTGTTAGTACAAACTTATGAAGGGTTTCCAATATATCCTGATAAAAATCCTCTCTCTTTGGAGTTACATAATTATAGAGCACAGAAAAAAAAATGGAGTTTGACCCAATATGAACTTGAAGGAATCAGGATTGGCAGTGTGTGTAAAAATAGACATACAAAGGAAATCTTTTAGAATATATTTTATTATTCAGATTTATATTAAAATGAATTAGATTATGGTCCTCCCACATTTCTGTGGCAGCATCCAGAATTCTATTATATTTACTTCCAATTACTGCAGCAAACCTAGACTTCAACTATTAGCCAAAGGCTAAAGATGCTCCTTTGCAGTTGCCAATATATAGACCAGTTTCAGGCTCTCCAGTGGTGGACAGATGGTCATTCCCAGGCTAATATTGCCCTATTTCCATGCAAGAGGAGCTATTTTAGACCTTTAGAGTTATGGTTCCAGTGAAATCAGAGACTTTGGGAAGACAGTGAATCTTTGAGGATACGAGAGGACAATAGACCTTCTTCATTCTCCTGGAAGGCAGCTTCCTTCCAGAATTATTCACTGAAAATCTCTGCTTCACAAATTCTCTGGAATTCTCAAGTGGTGACATGATAATATTGGTTTTCTATCATTACAATGAATATAAATATGCAATTTTTTGTTTTTCACTAAATATTTCAAGTGATTCCTGATGCTGAAATACAATACTACGTGAATTATGCTAAGTTGTCAAAAGACTTCTTGATGCACTGGTTTTATAGACAGGCATGAAATTTCATTGCATAATTGGATGTGGGTTGTGCACATAGGAGAGGGAGGTACAGCCAGCCTTCCATACCCACAGATTAAACCAATCTCAGATTTAGTATACTAAAAAAAACCGCAACAAAATAACGTACAACAATAAATAATAGCACAAATTCAAAAACCAGTGCAGTCTGACAACTATTTAAATGGCCGTTACATTGTACTAGATATTACAAGTAATCTAGAGATGATTTAAGATACATGGGAGAATATGCATAGGGTATATGCAAATTCTATGACATTTCATATAAGGGACATGAGCATCCAAGGATGTTGGCATTCAAGGGGCTCCTGGAACCAATGCCCCAAGGATACTGAGTGATGACTGAATATTGTTTTCTTTTCTTTTCTTTTCTTTTTTGCCATAGTGCTCTTCTTACAGGGTGATGAAGAAACACCCCTATCAAAAGATGGGTGTGTGTTCTCATCTGTTGAATGTAGGCAGACTGTTGTAACTTCCTCATCCCATAAACAGTGGTGTGCAATTTCCAAACCATGTCACAAAAGCCTTTGTGCCATCCTTCTTGCTTTCTTGAATTGCTTGTAATTAGGGAGTTGTAGATACCATGTCATGAGGATCTTGAAGAAACCCTGGAGAGTGAGAGGGTCACATGGAGACAAGTTGTGGCCGTTGGCCACCAGCCGTCACCAACTTGCCAGCCATGTGAGTGAGCCTCTTGGAAGCTGGGGCCAGAGTCCCACCCAATCCCTTAGTAGATCGTCCGGGTCTAGCCAACATGTGACTACAACTGCATGAAAGACCTTAAATGAGACCTACTCAGCCAAACTCTTCCTAAGTCCTGTCCAAACAAAACCATGAAGGATAAGAAATGGTTATTATTATTTTAAGCTACCACCTTTTGGTGTGATTATTATATGCAATAATAGGTAGCAGACACTGGCTTTGGTTGGACATGTATGTTCTCTGCATATTCTGCTTTTGTGCATGTGGAGAAATGGGCTTTCTGGGCTGCTGACAATGAGGAGGTAGAGATGTTGTTCAGGCAGATGCGTTTAGACTTCGAGTCCACTTTCTCCTTCCAAGAACTATGTGGCCTTACAAATGCTGGGGTTGGTTTAAGAAAACAGAACTCTTAATGTTTGTAAACATTCCTGTACGAGAGTTCATCCATCATTTGTGTCTCTCTAGAAAGGTCATACGCAGAAAATGTAGTGGTGTAGCAAAATTTTGAACTTTTCAGAGCTGGCAAAATCCTTTCTTTAGTGTATAGTATTACTACTCATGTCCATTATGAACCATGAGCCCAGGGAGACTCTGCTGAGACAGGCTGCATCTCCTCCAGCCTTATCCTCCTAAGATCAGGCATCCTACCTAAGGGGAGCATAGAATTTAGCCCCTGTTTGTGGGGTGGTGTGGATTCTTCCCACCTGTCTAATCCACCTGAGAAACAGTAGTGAAAAAAAGAAGAAAATGACAAAAATCGAGCTGATTTTTGTATCTACATATGTAGATAATATATGCTATATACACATGCACATAGAATGTATACGTATTATATTTATATATGTATGGTCATTTTTGACCACTCACAATATACAAGACATGATAATTTTCAACGTGTCAAGTTAGAAATTACCATTCTACCTCACTAAATTATCTCAAAAATCTTGATACCTAGTATTTATATATTTTATAAATTAAGTAACCTAAGTCTAAACAAGACGACTGGTTCACAGACCACTATCCTACATGCAAGCTGCAATAGGAAAATAATTTCTCAGCAGTGATTTTTTACAAGTGAAAATAACATTTAAAAATTACAGAAAAGCCGATGAATGGAAATAATCAGTGACAGATGTGGTTTAAGATATAAAAATGAAATCTGAATCCATTGTCCCCAGTGTGTAAAAATGTTTTACGTTGTTTCTTGAAAATTCTCATTGGATGACCCTCTCTTGTTGTCATATTAATTCTGAAATTCTGATTTTAGTCTATTTTCATTTTCACAACAGAACCAGGAACAAAAAGTGTACCCTAGGGGCATCCAATTAACAATAAGCAACTATTGTATGTTTGTTGGAACATACGTGTCAGGAGGGCCGAAAGCATAGCTGACGTGATAAGATATACAAACAAAATTAATGGGATAAAACAGTATGATGGCATCAAGTAAAACGTTTTTGTTTACATTTTTGTGTAGTACAGAGGTTACAATCAGAAAAGGAGTTGTCAGCTCAAGAAATTGAATAAATTAAATAATAAATTAATGAATGGAATATTTCTGTTGGGAAATCACACACAGCACATTAAATGAAGTTCATTAGAAAGTGGGAGCTACAGGATGAAACTGACAGGCAAGGGATGCTGAATTATGGTCGTCTTGTAAAATTTAATACCACATTTCTCAGCTTTAAAGTATTAAACCTACCAAAAACACTAAACCTGCATCCCACCTTTGTAACACTTTTGAAAACCCCATAACCTCACCTGCTGTTAATTCTAGATCTTTACAGATTCAAAGAATATATATATATATATGCACACATATGAGTTTCTCATGTTATTTGCCTTTTTAGTTTTTTGAGAAATAGGCCTTGTGTGGTTTTCCAAATAAGTACAAATTGTACTGACAGCATATATTTTTATCTCCTCAAGAAGACAGTTCCTTGTCATTGTTCTTTCCAGCAACTTGACATTTTATTTAGGTAACCTGTTCTCCACTTTGTAATATGTTAGCTATCATCCCAGCAAAATTGTTCTATATTCTACAGAGTGGTAGTTTATTTTTTTTTTGGAAATACGGACAAAGCATTCAATTATTTGTCGCCATGACCGCTCTCGGGGTTAGTTAACTACATATGCAACTAAAATTGGATAAATGTAATTAAGAAAATTGGTATTGTAGAGGTTTCATTGTTCTATAGAATTAGAGAATTCTACCAACTGAATTTATAACCTGAGCATGAAAACCAGATCCTTTTTCATATTTAAATATTAACCAGAGTAAGCCATGTACTACCTTAACAATAAAAATAAAATTAAACAAACTCAAAAAGTTTGAAGAAATAAAATGATAAAAGCTAAGTGAATTCTTTGAGCTGCAGCTTTTTTACCGTGCTGCACAGTTGCCTGGCTTAGGTCAGAACCTTTTCAAGAAAGGTTCCATCCTGCCACGGCTCTTTGAATTTTTCTTAAATCTTTTATGTTTAAAGATATCTAATTATATTCTATTTTAATACTTGGATAAATTAAGAATTTTTAAAAATTCTTCATTTTTGTAAAGTATTAATAAAGTAATTTTTTAAAAGTAAAAGAATAAATTCAAGCATTCCAATCTGTTAAAATATCCTTTACAATGTACTAACCGGATTATATTATCGTGTGTTTCGCCTCATTTTTGTTATACAAATTTTCATGTATTAAGATGATCCATGGCAGGGCACAGTGGTTCACACCTGTAATCTCAGCTCTTTGAGAGGCCAAGGAGGGAGGATTGCTTGAGCCCAGGAGTTGGAGACCAGCCTGGGCAACATAGGGAAAACCTGTCTCTACAAATATTTGTAAAATTTGCTCTCAGATACTCAAAAGGCTGAGGTGGGTGAACTGCTGGAGTCTAGGAGGCTGAGGCCACAGTGGGCCAGTGATCCCACCACTGCTCTCCAGCCCTGGTGACAGAGAGAGATGCTGTCCCCAAAAAAGAAAAAATCCACGTGATATTTACTTCCCTAGCACATGACATCATGTTGCTGTATCCTGATTTGACTATCAGTTATTGTATTTTTAAATATTTTGGTTTTCTTTTTGTTTCTTTTTTTTAAAATTATTTTAACTGTAAATCATACATAGTATGAACCCCTATATACAGATTAGGCTATTTACTTAGGATCTGATCCCAAAGTTCAGCAGAAGTTGAACAATACAAATTATAACATATTCCCAGATTGTTCTTTAGAGAAAATAAATGAATGAACTGACAATATATGCATACATGTTACATTCTCCCACCCACTCACCATTTTATATAACAGCTTAATTTTTTTATTTTAATGCTTAAAAATAGATTTAATTTGCAACTCTCCAACTGCTTTTGCAGTGATGCATTTTTTCCACAGGACAGTTTTCTTTTTTATTGTTATTTGGAACAAGGGCATGTAGGCAAAAGATGTAAATGCTTTCCACAGCCTGTTGCTTCCCCAGTGGTTCTCCACCTCACCTGCATGTTGCTGTCAATTCAAGAACTTTAAGAAACCCTGATGCCCAGGACACCCCAATTCCAGTTAAATCAGAGTCCTGGGAGTGGAACTCAGGCATCAGTACATTTTAAAGCTTCTCAAATGCTTCTATCAGCCATCCAGGTTTGGGAATGACTCATCTCAATTGATCATGGAGTCTCAGCTGGGTGTGATGGGAGATTGGAAGGAAAACAGTAGGCTTAACTTTATTATATGGGGCAATCGGAATTAAGCTGTGTTGTCAGCCTTCCTCCCATCTAGTGCCCTCAAACAAACCCTTCCCTGGCCCTGAATCTTCTCTCATTGCCTATGTCCTTGCCTGTCACAGTCTTTCTGCATTGAAACAGTCCATGAAAAAGGTCTCCTGATCTAAACTACCCTGTAATTAGCCTGATAAGTACCTCATCTCCTACTTGTATGCTTTTTCTGATCTGTTTCCCTGTAGAGTGAAATCTTACTTTCTGAACATCCAAATCCTGATGAGGTTTTACTGTCAATGAACAACTGATATTTTTACGTGAATTAAGAGACACAGCAATTCCACTTCATCCCAGTGTTTTTACCAGCTACTTGGACACACTCGCCTACTGGATTTGACCTCTGTGAATACCAATGCTGGCCTGGGTGTCAGTATTTGCTAGAAGCCCCTGTGTGGGTTTGTCTTCCCTTAGCTTTAGCCAGGAAGACATCTGGCCTCAGCAAGCACACTGCTGCTGTGATTCTTTTGCTTCTATTAAGTGCAAATGAATGCACTTTATGTTGATGGTGTATTGCATAAGACTAATTTCTGGATTAGCGAAAAAGAGCTCTTTTTCATTTATCAGACATTTTCTTTCTTACATCTTATTTTCCTTCAGCTTCAAACCATGTCTGCCTCACCCATATCAGTAACCACATTAATAATGACGAGAATAATTAACTTTCATTGCAACCTTTTTCCATCCTTATAACATAAGTCATGGCTGGGTGCAGTGGCTCACCCCTGTAATCTGAACATTTGGGACTACTAGGTAGGAGGATCTCTTGAGCCCAGAAGTTTAAGGCCAGTCTGAGCAATATAGGGAGACCCTGTCTCTATAAAGATATTTAAAAAATTAGCCAGGCATAGTGGTGCATGCCTGTGGTCCCAGCTATACAGGAGGCTGAGGTGGGAGGATTGCTTGAGCTGGGAGGAGGTCAGAGCTATAGTGAGCCATGATCACGCCACTGGATTCCAGCCTGTGCGACAGCCCTGTCTCAAAAAACAAAACAAAAACAACAAAAACAAGAAAGCCATAAGTCTTTTACAAATGCTGTCTCCTTTAATTTTAACAACCTACAAAACAGTTACTGTATTTATCCCCAGTTTTTCAGATGAAGAAACAGTAGATTGAATAATGTTTATTGGCCAAGGTTCAAGAAATGACAGAGCTGGAGGATTTAAACCTAGCATTGCTTAATTCCCAGAGCCTGAGCTGTTGACCATGTTTTATGAAAACTAGATTTCTTAAAAAAAAAATAATTGAGGCCCTTACAAAGTCTATTCCTGACCTCCATTTATATCCCCTTTGTTCCCACTCACTGCCATTTTTACCTACCTTTCCTCAAGCACTGCTGACCAACTGATTGTTCCTGGATCTGTGACAACTGCATGACTTGCCATGTGCTGTTTCTCAGGTCTGAGATTTTTGCTCTCTCCTTCAAGGTGAGCTCCCACTCATAATTTTCAATTTAGTTCAAATGTCAAACAGTTCTATGTGAAGCTCTGAGCCCCCACATCAGTCAATTGTGCTTTTCTCTGTGTTCTTACGGTGCTTGGTAAATACCTTGATCACAGTGTTCATCACTTACCAGCTAATAACTTTCAACGGTTTAAGCTCTGTAAGCCTCAGTTTCCTCATCTACAAAAATAAAGATAATCAAAGAACTTATCTCAGAGGCTTATGAGAATTAGAGATAATGAATGTAAGATATTTAAATCTATGTTATATAATAAGCATTTTAAAAGCTATTAACTGTATTTCATTACCATCCCCTTGTACTACAACTTTTGATTTTTTTTTTCTTTTCACAACTGCTTTCTATGAAAGTGGACATGATGACATGCATTTTATTTTTCCATGTTTTGCAAAGTTCTCAGCACAGAATGGAAACGTGTGGGCTTACTTAACAACTCCATCTCTAAAATGAGGACCCTCAAAGGGCATTAGTGTCAGCAACTATCATTATTTAGTAAGTTTTAGTAAACGAAAGGTTGCATTTAAAGGGAGTAAAACACTTGCATATCAGTAGTTTCTTATGCAGAGATGATGGCAAGTCACAGTAGTCCATGTCTGCGAGCTCATAGACAGACCTCTTTGTGTGATGAGATATGACAAGTCTTTAGATTTTTTCCTATTAGTACCCTGCAGCACCAATTCCTGCTGTTGTGCAAGGAGTACCTGAAGTGTTGATCAGCAAGAGACTTGGCAAATCTTGCTGACATGTCTCTTCTGACAAGAGGATAAATGCTTTCCATGGATCCTTTCTGTCCTGCACTGGCCCCTTGGCTGACCATCTGTTTGAAAGTGCAGGGCATGATGGTGACAATAAATAAGGTGCTCTTCTGTAAATTTCAGTAATCCAACTACAGTACATTCCAAAGCATGACTGAACAGCGTACCTGGTAATCTTTGTTACAAATAGAACCTGCAGATCCTGGAGCAGCAGAGGTTAGAGATGGAAATAAAAGGGCATTAATTTAATTTGGGCAGGCTGGGCTCAGTGGTTCATGCCTGTAATCCCAGCACTTTGGGAGGCCAAGGCAGGTGGATCACCTGAGTTTAGGAGTTTGATACCAGCCCTGCCAACATGGTGAAACCCCGTCTCTACTAAAAATACATAAGTTAGCTGGGCATGGTGGCACATGCCTGTAGTCCCAGCTACTCGGTAGGCTGAGGCATGAGAATCGCTTGAACCTGGGAGGCGGAAGTTGCAGTGAGCCGAGATCACACCACTGTACTCCAGCCTGGGCAACAGAGTGAGAGTTGGTCTAAAAACAGCAACAACAACAAAAAAGAATTTAGGATAGAGACAGTCTAAATAAAATATTTTTTTCCAGAATAACCCCCGAAAACAATGTGGATATTCTTCTCATTCAGGCTTAAAGGAGCCATCTATACCTGTTAGATCCTCTGTTTCCTCCCATTTCCTTCATAATCCACAGATGTTTTTATTTAGTACTTAATGGAGTGGTTCTGAAATGGTTGCCTTTCAAGAAAAAAAATTAGATTTAAAAAATCTTTACCAAAGAAATGCATGTGAGTCTTGTTTTGTTTTTGGAGGTGATACATCACACCATAGCACGTCTTAAGTTTATGGAGTACCAGATGCTTTGAAGTGATCATCTGAAAGGGAATATATGAAGTTCCAATTTCAAATTAATTTCATTTTGAAAGCTAAATAACTGATACATTATAAGATGCCTTTTTGGCCGGGCATGGTGGCTCACGCCTGTAATCCCAGCACTTTGGGAGGCTGAGGCAAGGCAGACCACTTGAGGTCAGGAGTTTGAGACCAGCCTGACCAACATGGTGAATGCCTGTCTCTACCAAAAATACAAAAATTAGCTGGACATGGTGGCATGTGCCTGTAATCCCAGCCACTCGGGAGGCTGAGGCAAGAGAATCACTTGAACCCAGGAGGCGGAGGTTGCAGTGAGCCAAGATCGTGTTGCTGCACTCTAGCCTGGGTGACAGAGAGACTCCGTCTCAAAAAAAAAAAAAAAAAAAAAACAAACAAACAACAACAATAACAACAACAAAAGCCTTGTTAATTATCTGTTATTATTACTTTACTTGGCTAATTGTATATTTTTCTGTCTCTGTCCATTCGTCATTAATCTTTGCATTAACCTAATAGCCATTATCTTCAGACGTTACTCTATGCAGGTTCAGTGCCTGCTTGAGGTGCTATTCTCAACCCTTTTCATCTATTAAAAACAAGTTTACTAGACAAACTTTATTTGACGAGAACTCTTCAACTCCACAATTTATTATTATTATTATTATTTTTTTTTGAGACAGAGTCTCGCTCTGTCGCCCAGGCTGGAGTGCAGTGGCGCGATCTCGGCTCACTGCAAGCTCCGCCTCCCAGGTTCACGCCATTATCCTGCCTCAGCCTCCCGAGTAGCTGGGACTGCAGGTGCCCGCCACCATGCCCAGCTAATTTTTTCTTTTTGTATTTTTAGTAGAGATGGGGTTTCACCGTGTTAGCCAGGATGGTCTTGATCTCCTGACCTTGTGATCTGCCCGCCTCGGCCTCCCAAAGTGCTGGGATTACAGGCGTGAGCCACCGTGCCCGGCCCAAATTATTTTTTTTGTTACTTTTGTTAGTACTTTTCTTCAAATATAGATCAAATTAATTAATTGCACCATTGAGTCAGCTACATATTTCTCAGCTCCTCAAATTCAGCTTTCTATCCCAACAAACGAACTGAAACTAATATGATATATTTTTAACTATATTGCTCGATCCATTAAAATTTATGTTGACATTTAAAAGACAAGCTGCTCCAAGCAGTGTGTCTGTAAAAATTGAATTAATAATGAAAAATACTAAGAAAATGGAGACTTCCAGAGTGTGACTCATACTAATGAAAAAGAAGCATTCAATAGAAACTGTCAGTGCAGGGTTCCAGGTATGAAACTAGGTATACAAACGTCAGTGGATTTCAGTGGAGCTATAGTAAGTATGGCCTAAGAACTAAAGGATACTATGATTGAAGAATAAAGTATGTGCGTGATCCTTCACCAAATGGAGAATATCCGTAAAGAGGCAGAAATTATGTAAAATAACAAAATGAAAACTTAGAGAGGAGCACAAAAGCAGTCTTGAGATGGCAGAAGAAAGACCCAGTGACCTTGAAGATTGATGAATAGCAATTATCCGTGAAAAACAACAAAAAAAAAGAAAAATTAATAGACCCTCAGGGACTGTGGTCTAAACAACATCAAGCATATCAATGTATGAGAGTTCCAAAAGAAAAAGGCAGAAAAGGCAGAAAACAAATATTTGCAGAAATAATGGCCAAAACATCCCAATTTTTGTGAAACATATCAATCTACATATTCAAGAAGCTCAACGAACTGCAAGTCAGAGAAACATAAAGAGATCCATGTCCAAACACATCATGATCAAACTGCTGAAAGATAAAAGACAGAGAAAACAAGATAGAAAAATTAAAATGTTTATTAGAGATTGTTATTAGGATTTTTTTGCAGAAATTGACAAGCTGACCCAAAAATTTATATGGGAATTCATATGACCCATAATAATAATAATAACAATAATGATAATAAAAACTTTGAAAAAGAAGAACCAAGTTAGAGGACATGCACTTCCTGATTTTAGAAATTAATATAAAGCTACAGTAATCAAGGCAGTGTGATATTAGCATAAAGATGGATACATAGATCAATAGAACATAATTGAGAGTCTAAAGATAAACTCTTAAAATATGGCCAGGAATTTTACTTAGCATATGCAAGACCCTGAGAATATCAGAATTAGAAACTTTTAAAAATAGTTTTATGAGCACCAATGATTGTATTTCGGCATTAAGCATAAATTTTATAGTTTGATCACGTCAATACACATAAAATGTTGGAAAGTAACGTTTTCTGGTACATTTACTTAAAAAGGAGTTATGAATTAAGTGTTTCAAGATATCATAAACTAGGTAAACAAAAATCATGTATGCTATGTGCTTTGTCGTATAAAAACTAATCTCTCTAGAATGGATTTTTTTTTTTTTTTTTTTTTTTTTTTTTTTTTTTTTGGAGGCAGAGTCTCGCTCTGTCGCCCAGGCTGGAGTGCAGTGGCTTGATCTTGGCTCACTGTAACCTCCACCTGCTGGGTTCATGCAATTCTCCTGTCTCAGCCTCCCGAGTAGCTGGGACCACAGGCACCCGCCACCACACCCGGCTAATTTTTTGTATTTTTAATAGAGACGGGGTTTCACTGTGTTAGCCAGGTTGGTCTCAATCTCCTGACCTCGTGATCTCCGCGCTTGGGCCTCCCAATGTGCTGGGATTACAGGCTCGAGCCGCCGTGCCTGGCCTAGAATGGATATTTAAGGTGGAGTATATTTCTTTTTTCTTTTCCTTCTTTCTTTTTTTTTTTTTTTTTTTTTGAGACGGAGTCTTGCCCTGTCTCCCAGGCTGGAGTGCAGTAGCGCGATCTCGGCTCACTGCAAGCTCCGCCTCCCGGGTTCACACCATTCTCCTGCCTCAGCCTCCCGAGTAGCTGGGACTACAGGCGCTGCCACCACGCCCGGCTAATTATTTGTATTTGTAGTAGAGACAGGGTTTCACCATGTTAGCCAGGGTGGTCTCAATCTCCTGACCTCATGATCCGCCCACCTCGGCCTCCCAAAGTGCTGGGATTACAGGCGTGAGCCACCGCGCCCGGCTGGTGGAGTATATTTCTTATAAAATATGTAGGAGTTGGCCAGGCGCAGTGGCTCACGCCTGTAATCCCAGCACTTCAGGAGGCCGAGGTGGGTGGATCACGAGGTCAACAGATCGAGACCATCCTGGCCAACGTGGTGAAACCCCCTCTCTACTAAAGTACAAAAATTAGCCGGACATGGTGGTGTGTGCCTGTAGTCCCAGCTACTCCGGAGGCTGAGGCAGGAGAATGGCGTGAACCCGGGAGGCAGAGGTTGCAGTGAGTCGAGGTCACGCCACTGCACTCTGCCTGGTGACAGAGCAAGACTGCCTCTCAAAAAAAAAAAAAAAAGATATGTAGGAGTTCCACTCTACTTGATAAAGTTTAACATTAAGATCCTGAAAAATAGAAAAATGTAATGAAAACTAGATTAAGTATGATAGTAATTAAGAATATTGAAAAAAGATGATTAAGAAGAATACCCTCTGGTGAAGTTTAATATAATCTCTCCTATAAATCTATGCATAATCACCTCTAAGGAAATGAGAACACAAAAGATTAAAGCAGATTCAGCTAAAATATTATCTATGTCTTTAAGTGCTTTTCACTAATTCATTAGTTGCAATAAAAAGTTTTTTTTCTATTTTTTGCAAAATGATCCCATAATGAAAACCTTCAATTAAATAATTTTAAAGCATCCTTTAATTCTCTATAGCGCTCTTCTGGAAATAATATATTATGAAGCACTTTCATTTCCCTTTCGATGAGAAAAGGTCAAATAACCTCAAGTTTTTGTCTTTTTTTTTAGAACAGAAAAACATTCTGTCCCTTCTTTTCATAAATTTGTATGTGAATACGATTTTTTAAAAATACAGAACAGGACCCCCATTACTAAGCTAAACTTCCCATGATTGTAAAACACTATGCCAGCAATGAAGCTAATCTGGCTGCCAGCTTGTGTCAGTCCGTCCTTACACTGCTATGAAGAAATACCCGAGAGTGGGTAATTTATAAAGAAAAGAGGTTTAATTGACTCACAGTTCCACATGGCTGGGGAGGCCTCAGGAAACTTACAATCATGGCAGAAGGTGAAGGAGAAGAAAGGCACCTTCTTCACAGGGCGGCAGGAAGGAGAAGTGTGGAACAAAGTGGGAAAAGCCCCTTATAGGCTGGGTGCAGTGGCTCAGCCTATTATCCCAGCGCTTTGGGAGGCCGAGATGGGTGGATCATCTAAGGTCAGGAGTTTGAGACCAGCTTGGAGAGTGAAACCCCGTCTCTACTAAAAAAAAAAAAATTACCTGTGCATGGTGGCAGGTGTCTGTAATCCCACCTACTCAGGAGGCTGAGGCAGGAGAATTGCTGGAACCCAGGAGGCAGAGGCTTCAGTGAGCCGAGATTGGACCATTGCACTCCAGCCTGGGCAACAAGAGCCAAACTCTGTCTCAAAAAAAAAAAAAAAAAAACAAAAAAACCCTTAAAAACCATCAGATCTTGTAAGAACTCACTCACCATCACGAGAACAGCAGGAGAGTAATCAGCCCCATGATTCATTACCTCCCACTGGGTCCTTCCCATGACATGTGGGGATTATGAGAGCTACAATTCAAGATGAGATTTGGGTGAGGACACAGCCAAACCCTACCACACCTCTCCTGCCCTGTTGATTCTGAGGCTGGCTTAGCAGCTCTTGCTAGTTATGGGGAGGCTCTCTGCTTCTTTTCTTCACCATGAGTGTTGAAATGAAAATGCTCGTTTTAGGGCTGGGTGCAGTGGCTTATGCCTATAATCCCAGCACTTTGGGAGGCCAAGGCAGGCAGATCGCTTGAGGTCAGGAGTTCGAGACCAGCCTGGCCAACATGTCCAAATGCCATCTCTACTAAAAATACAAAAATTAGCCAGGCCTGGTGGCAGATGCCTGTAATGCCAGTTACTTGGGAAACAGGCACAAGAATTGCTTGAACCCGGGAGGCAGAAGTTGCAGTGAGCTGAGATCATGCCACTGCACTTCAGCCTGGGTGACAAAGCGAGACTCTGTCTCAAAAAAGAAAATTTTAGGAGAACGTGCATACTGATTTGCACATATACATATTTAATTTTCAAAGCGTATTCACAGAATATTACCTGTATTTAATTTGCTGAGCTGGTGGTACTAATTCCATTTGATGAACTGGGATATGGATCGCTGGCTAAGTTAATGTCATGTAACTCTGTACTGATGCCAAAGTTAGCCACATCTTACTTCCAGACATTTACCTTATTTCTGTTTTCAAAAATTATTAAATCTAAAAATTACTTCTGATTTTAAAAGGATTCTCTGAAACAGAAAACAAAGACAAGTTGTTGCATGGTGCAAAGTGATGGAAATTTGGCCAAATCCAACCTAAGTTTGAATCATCAATTTTCTTATCTGTAAAATGAAGCTAATGTACATTTTAAAGGTTATTATGAAGATTAAATCATAAGATTCATACATGGAACATTTAGTATTTTACTTGGTTCACATAAGACCATCAATAAATAGTTGTAAATAATAAAAATGATAATTTAACTTTGATTTTAGTAAGGTTATCATTAAATGAAAGGTTCGGTACCACTGGTGGTAGCTGCTAAGCTTGAGTAAAGACTTATTTTGAAGATGCTATATTTTTTATAAGACTGCTAATCCATTCAAAAATAGTCTACTACATGCCAGGCACTGTGCTAGGTGCTGGACATATAGTAGTGAGAAAGAGTCCCTGCCCTCAGGCAGCTTACATTTTAGATGGATCTTTTAGTATTTGCAGCCTGGGCTGCTCCTACAGCTTTCTTCCACCAAATAAGTGTACTTTGATCAGAACCTCAGAAGTGGAATTAATTCAGCACACAGTGTTTGCTGAAGGAAGGGGGATGGACAAAGAAAAACTTGGGGATTCACCAGGGTACCAATCAACCGTGCCAGTGGCCCACACTGGCCCAGAATCCACGTACTGTGGACTTAAACTCACTTGGAGAATTCCTCTAATAAAAGGTTAATATTGGTATTATGTACATCTCATACCTAACGCAAAAACCTCTCCATGTATGTTGTCTTCTCTCTCCAAAGGGAGAATTCACTATATTCCTGCCATATTACCAAGTTTAGCTAGAATTTTGAGTGGAGCGCCAATCACCAAGTCTTACTTAAGATGCCTTTATTTCCTATCTAGTATGTTTTCAGTCCTTTCTATTTCCCTTTGTTCCTTTGGGCCCTGTGTTTTTGGCACCCCATACCTACATCGAGTGTGGGTTCTGCCCTATGAAAATACTCTTACAGTCTTGTTAGTAAATTATTCAGGCTTTTGTGTTGCTCTTGAGTTTTGGTTAGGCCTAAGAAATTTATTCCATGGGGAAGACTTTGTTTTTCCCTTATCCATATATTTATTTCTGTTTGGGGATCTCTCTTTGCACATTTCTGACCTGAAACTGCTCTTGAAACTTCTGAAGCTTGTTTCCCTAGGATCAAGGAGACAACATCATGGAGGTCAGTGGCTGTTAATGGGCACAGCCACAGGTTAGTCCGGAGCAAAGATAAGGGCTGCTAAAGAGGCCATTGACCTGAGCTGTCGGGTACAGGGTGTTGCAGTTTGATTCTGAACCATACCTTGAAGGCAGCCCGGTCTGGAATGGCTAATGAGGCTGAGGCAGGTTAGATATCATAAGCATAATTAGATGAACAATGTGCATGTCTTTTTAACTGCAAGCCAGCTGAGGGTGTGAAAGGGTACTATTTAAGCCCCTTCATTGTATTGCTAGCTCCTAGTCTAGGGAGGCGTCTTAAAGATGTTGCCCCAAATTCCATCTGAATTCAGAGTCAAGGAAGCAGTGACAACATTGAATTTATGTGGCTTATCTTCATGGTTTCAGGTTTGCTTAGGTTTGATTGCTTACCTTAAATTCTAACCTCAGCTTTGGTTTTTCAGTTCCCCCAAATGGACAGTGTCTTGAGGAGCATGTGACTTGAATACCCTCCATTCTATAATTTACTTAGAAATCCTAGCTGGAAGACACGGTTACAAGTACTCTCTTGGCTACAGTCATCCTCCTCCTGTTGCAAACAATCTCTATGGAGATGAGAACATAATCGTAGTCATCCTTGATTGCTTACTGCAGTTGTCTTTAACTCTGTCTTGACATTAAAGGAAGTATTATCAATTCCAAAGACTAAGGACAATTTTTAAAATGTGTAAATATTGTAATTCCAAAACATACCATAGACACAGACACGTGCATAACCAAGATATTAGTAAACCATCATCCACTCAAGGTAATTATATGATTTCTGAGTCACAAATCATTTCCCTTTAATACAAAACTAGGAAAATATCCAAAGACTAGTGAAGATAGCCATCTAAGTACCTGGGCTGGTAAATGTAAAACAAGAAAACCCTGGTCGTAATGTTTTCTATGTTCTTTTGGCTGCCTGCCTTCTTACTGTATTTCCAGGAAAACCAAGGTCTTTTCAGATTTTAGAATCAGTTATACACTGACTTTTGAGTACTTGAGAGTTATTATGCATCCTAGTGGACGGCTTAGAAGAGGTTGTAAGGGAATAATTTTCATTTCAATCTAAATGTATATTTTGCAACTGTTGATGTATACTGATAGAAAGCTTCACATTCCAGAATGGATTCTATTAGGTTTTAAAATGATAATTAAATTTCTTTTTCTTTTCTTTCCTTGGCTTCAAAGTTGACTTTTAAGTGTCACTTTTTTGGTCTCTATCTTTGAGTCTTCAGCATGTTTTAAATGCCTGAGGTATTCTTAGACTGATTGCCAATTTCTCTGCAGTTTCTTAAAAAAAAATACCCCTTTAACTGATCCTCCAGTCTAGACGTCTCCTGGACGAGTGTCAATTGTTCTTCTTTCTCTTTTTACATGTGAGTTAAATGGTACATCGTCCTGTGTTAGGCAGTTCTTGCATTGCTATACAGAAATACCTGAGACAGGGTAATTTATTAAGAAAAGAGGCTTAATTGGCTCCCGGTTCTGCAGGCTGTACAGGAAGGATAGCACTGGCATCTGCTTGACTTCTGGGGAAGCGTCAGGGAGATTTTTCTCATGGTGAAAGGCTAAGCAGGAGCAGGCACTTTACGTGGTGGGAACAAAGGGAGGTGTCACTTACTTTAAACAGCCAGATTACTATCGAGGACCTCACCAAGCCATGAGGGATCCGCCCCCATGAACCAAACTTCTCCCACCAGGCCCCACCTGCAACGCTGGGGATTCCATCTCAACATGAGATTTGGAGGGACCTCCAAACTCTATATCAGTCCCTAATAAAGACCCCTCCTACCAGTAAGGTTCAGAATTGAATTCCGTTTGTTCCCTAAATACTTATTTGATTGCTTTTATTTTAAGAATGTTTAGTTGAATAGCTCTCCAATACAGAATTTTGCTCTTATGGTCACTTAGTTCCCAAAGTTCATCGATCCTCATCCTAATTTCTTTTTTGCAAAGGGTCTGTGGTTACACTGAGTTCTGCAATTTATAGTTTCACTCCTGAAAATCATTCTTTTATTAATTAAAGAATCAGATAGATTAAGATTTGATTTCCATCTTTGCCCACTCATTGGCTAATTTGGCTTTGAAACTCAGTCTATATGAGCCTCAAGGTCTATGAAATATGGATACTATTAACAATGCTGCAAGAGTGTTAAAAGAAAATATGCGTGTAAATGAGTCATAAGCGCTTGGCATGTGGGTAGCCACGTGAGCAGTGTTAATTATGATATTGCTCCAGCTGAAAAGGTTGAAGGGGCAGAAGAGAAAAAAGGAAGAAGGAAAGGAAGAGGGGAAGTAGCAGAAGAAAGAAAAAGAAGAAAGAGAAATGCAGGAGCATGTAATGGCTAAAATAATGAGATTGCAGCTTAGCCTTTTGGGAAGGTTTGCCAAGTATCCCTTCCTTTAATTTACATAGTTCTCATCTTCCATGCAATTATAAAGTGTGATGAGAGTCTCTCTGAAATGTATTATTTTCCTTTCCTTTCTTTTTCCCTCAGGAAGATGCCAATAGAAACTGCTTTTCAGTTTCTCTCTGTTGGCCGTTTGCCCTAACTTTTGACCTCCTCTCTGCATTAGCTAAACTCCACCTCACCCCTCTATCAAACAGCTTGACCACTTCTGCTCTATTGTGACAGCTCTGATTCTTGAGAGGACTCTTTATCCCCTGCCTGCCAAAGGGCTGTTTCAACCCAATTAGATCATGTTGGAAGTAGACTTAATTTAAATAGGTTTTGAAGCTGCTGTCTCTGTTTTGTAAATTATATATTTTAAAAATCTACTGATTTTTGTCTAGTTCATTTAACTGTCCTTACTTAAACTTCATTAAAAAAGTCATTGGAACATCAGCATAGCACATGTGGAATAAATATAGGAGTTAATTTTCAGTACAACTGGTCTTTAAAGTTTAATAGCCAATAAATATAAACATGAAATGACAGTTGCCTCATTACAAATGTAAACACACATATAAACCTACCCAGTAGCAATTTGAAACAAGCTTAGGAATCCACCTCCTACTTTTGTTATGCCTGAGCCTTTTCCTCAAGGCTGTCTTTCCCTTTGATTTATTAATTCCTTCCTTACCACTGTGGCTATCAAATAAGTGCCCTAAAATAGTTATTTCTAATGAAATATAACTTTAGGATTTTAACAAAGAGAGAAAAAAGACTCTTCGTATAACCCTTTCAATTAAAGAAAACTGAGCTACAATGTGCATTTTTATCCAGAATATCACCATTTGCCCCAGGCCCACCCAACCCTTGGTGTGCTTAAGACATGGCTTTGTCAGATGTAAAACTCTGGACATAACTGCTGTGGGGAAGAAAAGCCACCCACTCATGCCCAAGAAGCTGCTTCAGATTCCCTGATGATCAGGTTCAAGGTCATTTTTCTGTACCTTCTTTGTTAAAAGATGCTTTGATTACACAGAATTCTTTCAATTTTTTTGGCCTTTGTTCTCTTGTAATTCAATGAGAATAAGAGAATGTCAGTTGCTTCAGCAGTTAGTGACACTGGTTAGAACTCCCCTAAGATGAAAGTCTGAAGCCCAGATGAGCTGTGAGCTGGATGTCCCCCAGTGGGGTTAGCCTTCCACAGCCCTCAGAGCACAAAGACGATTTTGAGTCTCAGCCGTCACTCTTATCAAATATTCTTACCCTTTTGCAGCAATTACTTTTGTCACTATTGCTATTATGGTTCTGCTAAAATTTCTCTTTCTTTCTCATATTTCTGTACAGTCATGCACTGTGAAATGATGTTTTGGTCAACGATGGACCACTTATACAAGAGTAGTCTTCTAAGATTATACTACTATTTTGGGGTTTGTTTTTGTTTCTGTTTTGAGACAAGATCTCACTCTATTGTCTAGGCTGGAGTGCAGGGGCCCCATCTTGGCTCACTGCAGCCTCAACCTCCCAAGGCTCAGGTGATCCTCCTACCTCAGCCTCCTGAGTAGGTGGGACCATGCCCGGCTAATTTTGGCATTTTTTTAGTAGAGATGGGGTTTTGCCATGTTGCCCAAGCAGGTCTCAAATTCCTGGATTCAAGCGATCCACCTGCCTGAGCCTCCCAAAATGCTGGGATTACAGTCATGAGCCACTGCGCTGGCCAAATGCCATATTTTTACTTCACCTTTTCTATGTTTAGATGTTTACATACACAGATGTTTCCTATTGTGTTACAGCCGCCCACAGTATTCAGTACAGTAATGTGCTGTATAGAAAGCCTAGGTGCAATAGGGTTTATGATAGAGCCTAGGTGTGTACCAGGCTATGCCATCTAGGTTTTTGTGAGTGCACTCTATGACGTTTGCACAACAAGGAAGTCACCTAATGATGCCTTTCTCAGAATGTGTCCTCATTGTTAAGTGAGGCATAACTGTATAAGAAATAAATTTCTTCTCAGCATGTGTTGACTACTTTATCTTAACAAAATGTTAACATAATTTAGCCTTTACTACAGAAGTCGGCATCATAATGTGTAGATTGCTTATGCTAATCGGGAAGTGTTAAGGTAAGCTGTGTCTATTTTAAGTGAAGTAAGTGGTTTAAATGACTCCATTTCAGAGAAAACTTCACTTCAGTAATCCTTTAAAAAAATCTGCCTCTGTTTCCATTCCCAATAGTAAAATAAATAGATAAACAAACAGCTCTTACTAAAACAACAGTAATTTATTATCTTGCACCAGAAGAAATTAGATTTCAAATGTGGAGAAAGTCTGGGATAGTAGCACCACTTTTAGAAATTACACATTATGTTTGTTTTAACATAAATTTGAATTCAAGGAAATTTTCGTGCTCTCAAAGAAATTGAGGAACTTCAAATAAGTTACCTACAAACACACGGTCTTATTATTTTCAGCATACTAACTTCTAATTTTTACTAATTTACCATACACAATATTGCCTGTAATTTTAGTTAACTAATACATGCCATTTTATATTCTGTATTTTGCATACATTTCCTTATATCAGTATAACTTCCATATTTCTTATTATAATAAAGTATTATATAAGTATAGCAATTTAACATTCCATAATGTTAAACTGTTTCCCTGATGTTGTGTTATGGTGTTAATAACAGTAGTAACAACAGCTACCATTTATTAACTGCTCACACAATAAATGCTATGTTAAAAGCATCATTTAACAAAGTAATGAAGAATCTTGATTTGTTACGTGGAAATGCATAGATTTAAGAACTCGGTGTACAACAGGTCCTTGAATAATTTTGTTTTATTCAACTTTATTTTCTTATAATTATAATATTGATGGAAAAAAAATTCTTAGTTGGGGCCAATGTCTGTGTGGAGTTTGCACAAACTCCCCATGTCTGTGTGGGTTTTCTCCAGGTACTCAGGTGAGCAAGAACCTATCAACAACATTAAGTGAGGACTTAACTGTACTAATATCTGTGTGACTTTAGTCAAGAAAAAAATTCTCTATTTTTTTCTTCATCTTCAATATCTTCCTTTGAACACATATAAGTAATAGCTGACTTAGAGGTTGTACCTCCCACTGAGCCTCACATATAGTAGGTGCTCAAGAAATGAGGGAATGTCGTTACTGGGAGCTGCCTAAAGTTGACTTACATCCATAAAATGAGGAGATTTATTTTATTTTGTGCATATTTCAAGATGGATCTCCAAGATAACTAAATTGTCAATGCCACCTGCAATATGCTATGTTCATTTTTTATTTTTATTTTTTATTTATTTATTTTTTGAGATAGGGTGTCACTCCGTCACCCAGGCTGGAGTGCAGTGGCGTGATTACCTCTCACCACAACCTCCACCTCCCAGGCTCAGGTGATCCTTCCACCTCAGCCTCCCAAGTAGCTGGGACTACAGGCGTGTGCCACTGCGCCAGGCTAATTTTTCTATGTTTTTGTAGAGACGGGGTTTCACCCTGTTGCCCAGGGTGGTCTTGACCTCCTGGACTCAAGCAATCCACCTGCCTTGGCCTCCCGAAGTGTTGGGATTACAGGCATGAGCCACCATGCCCAGCCAATTTTTTATATACCAAATCCTCACCAAGATTGCCTTTCTGTCATTCTTCCTTTACTTGTTCATTCTTCATTTCTTTCTCTCAACAAATATTAGAACCTGCTGCACACCTAGCTGTCTGCAAATCACTCCAGATTGTAACTCCTGTGAAGGAAATTCCTCTATTCAACAGGAATCCGAAGAGCCTAGTGGAGTATAGGCAGTAGATAGGCAGAGTAGGCCGGTAGATAGGCAGAAATATGTATGTGTGGGCATTTTTTAAAAAACCATGTCTGTCTTCCCCCGGAGATTATAATTAATCATCTTGATATTATACTATATCAGACAGAATGACCAAGATATAACCTCCTGGGAAAGACAGATACGCAAACAGATAATAATACAATATTATTATATTATATACATTATGTTCAAAATGTTATGGCAGTATATTTGTACCTGAGGAACTAGGGATTGGTAAGAATTAGCTTTTGAGTTATTATTTTTTCAAATGAATAGCAGTTTACCAGATAAATAGAGAGGCACCCCAAATTAGAAGATGTTATCTACTCAGAGAAAACAGGAGGAGCAAAGTCAAGTATGGAGCGTAGGAGAGAACTGAATATCTGGCAACCATTTCCTACAGCTGTAATAATTTTGGTTGGAGATTAGTATTAGAAGAGGATGGAGAGAAAGCAAGCTGGGCAGTTAGTAAATCTTGCGTACCTCCCATGCGACAGGCAGTATTCTAGACATTTTGTTCATATTTTGTCTTACAACTCTCAGAAAAACTCTATTTTAGAGGTGATGCAAGTGAGGCTGTTGAATATGAGGCCAGCTGTCCAAGGTCATGTAGCAAGAATATATCAGAGTTGGTGTTTAGAGCCAAGTCTTCCAGCTCAAAACTCACCTTCTCTTCACCTCTAAGATGCAATGAAATGGGCAACCACTTAGCGGCCTTCTTATTTATTTGGGCTTAATTAACTTCTCTGCTTGAAGATAAATCTTTGGGATTTTGTTCTCTGTTGTCTCAAAAATAGACATTTTACAAAATGTATTTTAACTTCCTTTGATATTTTTCAAAAGTAAATGCCACCTCTCCATGGGAGTCCTATTATGTATGTAGCAGATTCTTCTCTATAACCTTCATGCTTTCTTCGTTTTACATTTTTACCATTTATGCATCTTTGCTGTGGTCCACTCTTTGCCCTTAAATGGGGGCGAATGGAGGATCTTTTAACTTTTTTAGAGTTCTTCTGTTTGTTGTTATCATCACCTTTCTTAGGCCTTCAGCAGGAAGACTGGTTGTCTCAGTTATCTGTCATTCTGAAGAATGGCACCTTTAGGGAGGGAGACAGAGCCCTGGATATTCCCTTGAAGAGAATGCCATCCTGGCACATTGCAGAATGACACTATCCCGGTGGCCATCTTTCTCCATCCATCCTCATTGCCTCAGCTTGTGGGCCCGACATGAAGTGTGGCTGAGTCTGAACTCATTGCTTGTGCCTCCTACAGGGAAAATCCTGCTGTCCCCAAAGAAATACCCTGCCCTACTCAAGATGGTTATTGCATTGCCCCTGAGGCTCATGATCTTCTGTAAGGCCAGGGGTTCCCAACCTCTGCTTCCAATCTGCCCTAAAGCACCCCTCTTCCTGTCATATAATCTCCTCCAAATCAAGCATGAACAATTTTCTAGACCAGAAATCAGCAACCGATTTATTTTATTTTTTTTTTTTGTGATGGAGTCTCACTCAGTCACCCAGGCTGGAGTGCAGTGGTGCGATCTCAGCTCACTGCAAGCTCCACCTCCCGGGTTCACGCCATTCTCCTGCCTCAGCCTCCCAAGTATCTGGGACTACAGGCGCCCACCACCACGCCCGGCTAATTTTTTTGTATTTTTGGTAGAGACGGGGTTTCACCATGTTAGCCAGGATGGTCTCGATCTCCTGATCTCATGATCCGCCCACCTCGGCCTCCCAAAGTGCTGGGATTACAGGTGCGAGCCACCGCGCCCTGCCCAGCAACCGATTTTTATAAGGGGTCAGATAGGATATATTTCAGGCTTTGTGGGTCATACTGTTTCTGTTACAACTACTCAACTCTGCCATGGTAACATGAAAGCAGCCAGAGACGATATGTAAATGAATGGCTGTGGCTGTGTTCCAATAAAACTTTATTTATAGACTCTGATATTTGAATTTCAAATAATTCGCACAAGTCTTTTAGTTTGTTCCAAACATTTAAAAATGTAAAAACCATTCTTAGCTCACAGGCTACACAAAAACTGGCAGCAGGGTTGGAGTTTGCCCACTCCTGCTCTGGAAAGATTGCTGTGATGCTGCTTTTTCTGCAGAGTAAATTGGGATCTGACCACTAGAGTCTCCAAGCTGGCTGTTTTTTTGTAGCATCTCCAATCCAGAGCAGCTTTTCCTAGCTCCTAGTAATCATGCAGTTTCTGCCTATAGACTTTGACTTCAGTTTTCTCCTCTATTCGTGCCATCCTTCCCCCTGTGATCTAGGAAGGTGCGTAGATGGAAGTCCCGTTAGGAAGCCAATACTTAATCTATAGGTAAAACGTGGATTTTTTTCTTTCTGGAAAATATCTTTATTATTTAACCTTTTTCTATTTTTGAGAAATAGAATTCGATCTCTAAATGAATTAAACTGACTGCTAACTAGTGTGTAATTTTTGGAATGAATATATTTGAACTTCATTCAAATGATATTTCAGATTATTCTTTTTCTTCTTGAGATTGTATTGCAAACAGAAAGATAACTTTGGCAAGTAAATTAAAGGATTGACAAAACAAAAGTGTGAATTAAGGCAAAAAATAGATGCCAATGCCTACTTTTGTTGTTGCTGTTCATTCATTCATTTACTCATCACGTATTTGTATGTGCCAGGCACTATATTTCAAAGCGAGATCTCACTTTATATCTATCTTGACATACAAAGACGAGTAGAATACCATGCTTGCATTTTAGAGAACTATATGGGAGACAGAGAACCAATGAGATGTATCTTTATATATCAACTCAATATCTGTTGGTCACATTGTAGGACACGTAGAGCACAACTAATCATTGGAAGAAGTGTCTGTTTTGCATGGTCCACGTGATATGGTAAAGCAGCACGTTCTATAGAGGGCAGAGTCTTGGGCCATTTGCCTTACTCCCCTGAGTCTTTAAATCTGTAAAGCGAGATGACTACATTGCAGATTTGTGGTGAAGACTAAATGGAAATTCATATGCATACATAAGGTAATGATCAAAACATAGGCCATAAAAAATTCACATCACGGGATAAGTTTGGTTTTCTTATTGATAAGCATATGGCTTTCTAGTAATGTTACATTGAGTTACTAGTAAATTTACTTCTGAGTCAGACATATTTACTGACTGTGTAGTATGTCCGTGTGGCTATACTTCACATTGTGTGCAAAACGGAGGTATTACATGTTCTCACTTATAAATAGGAGCTAGGCTATGGGTACACAAAGGCATCCGAGTGATAATAATGGACATTAGAGATTCAGAGTGTGGGAGGAGGGTGAGGGATAAAAACTACATATTGGGTACAATGTACGCTACTTGGGTGATAGGTGTACTAAAATCCTAGACTTCACCACTATAAAATTCACCCGTGTAACCAAAAACCATTTATATTCTTAAAGCTAATGAAATAAAAACAGCAACAATAGAGGTATGTAGGTTAAGGTCTTTCTGTTGGGTTGCTTGTCAAACATCTTTTTATTATTATTATTATGCTACAGATTAGAAAGACAATCTTATGCAAATCATATGAGATCATCCTTACTGACCGATTTTTTCATCTTTTTGTGTCTGTTTAGATATGAACAGTAATGGCACATATTTTGGTTATGAGTCACTCAGAGGACTGTGGATTGAATGAACTGTATCCATCCCCATCATGATGTACAGAACCAAGTCTCTTCACTAGTAGGTATTTTTTTAATTAATATCATGTACACAGTTATATGTTGAGATTTTCACCAGAGTACCTACTTTTATAATGAAAAATGTGTAAAACACATGTATTAGTGTCGCCGGTATGAAATATGGCTAGATCTAGTCTATTTCTGTATCAACCAATTGTAAAATGAAGAGGCATGCTGAGCTGTATCTATTAGGTATAAGTATATAAATGTGGTAATTATGTATACCTATATAGGCAGAATTTAGAAGTATAGCATCTTCCCTCTTTTTTAACTGAATTAAGAAACGTCACTGGACAGTTTCGATGTCTTCTGGTCAATATCATATAGATCTGGTGCCAATGTAAGCTTAAACTTTTTACCGAGTTTATGCTTTGCAACAGTTTAATTTTATTATACAGGGTATTTGATGTGCTTCCACTCACAGATGCACCATATTAACAGTTGGTGTATGATATTTACGGTGTTGTGGAAAGAAAATTAAACTCAGTCAGAAGATGTTAATTTCATTTCAGCTCCAGCATTTATCCTCATACTAGTCCCCTAATCTCTAGGCCTCAGTTTCTTCATTTGAAAAGTGAAAGGAATCGTTTCTGCTTTACCTAGTTCATAAGATTTCCTTTGAAGGTCAACAGAGGTAACGGATGTGAAATTATTAGCTAACTCTCAAACTCTGTAAAAATAAATGGTGTTGTCTGTGGTCAACTAACAGCACAAGTAGAGAGCTGGAAAAAGTTGTGACCATAATTGTCTCTTCCAATTAATTAATGCAGTCTACTATTTTATATGCTACTTGCCTAAGAGATAAATGATAAAATCCTCATTAATTTTAATTTATGACCCAAATTAATTTTTGGTATATTTGAGAAAATTATGTTTAAATGATATATGAGGAAACACATGTTTCTCACACACCCATGCACACACCAATCCCCACCAACCATAAGGAATTTCTGCTGCTGCTTCTCTCCATCGTGTTTACTCTTATTAGATTTTGTCTATTAGGTTTTTACACATGAAGGAGAAAGATATATTAGATACTTCTTATGTGTACTTTAGTTTCAAGATACTAAGGAAACAATGTAGGAATTTGGTGAGATTGTAAATATTATTTAAATATAGTATTTAATACATCTGTTAAC
The DNA here is from genome assembly GCF_000001405.40 of Homo sapiens. NCBI lineage: Eukaryota > Metazoa > Chordata > Mammalia > Primates > Hominidae > Homo > Homo sapiens. The sequence continues at coordinate 239,546,888 of NC_000001.11, forward strand.
TGAAATCATTTTAACATCTTCTATGACCATTCTCTTTAGCTAGGAGAATACAGCTAGCTTGTTTAAAATGAACAACTGAAAATGTAATCTTAACAAATACATTCAGTAATATTGAGAAAGACTTTTCCACTAAATTTAAACAAGTTATATAACCAGGCTTATGCAATGAAACTGGTTTGCAAATTCTAATTCCGGAAATTAGATATGATTTTCACTAGGAGGGCAGTGGTCTGTTACATGAATAAAATTTTTGCATATAAATGGAACGAAAATCTTAATAACAGGTAACATATTCACTGGCTAATATTGTAGCATAGTGCTGAAGTATGCAGGATCTATAGTCAGACTGCCTGAGGTTGCAACCCAGTTCCACCATTTTGTAGTTTTGCAAAGTTGGACAAGTCATTTAATTTCTCTGTGCTTTAGTTTGCACATTTGTAGAATGAGACTAATAAAAAGAGATCTATCTGATTGCATAGGCTTGTTGTATGGATTACATGAGTTAATATGGACGAGTGTTTGGGAGCAGTGTGACACTTACTAAGTTATCAGTCAGTTCCCTGGGGAGTGTGGGATTATCCTGATGAGCACAGATTTTAGAATCAGAAAGCCCTGGGTTCAAAGTCATTTATTAATTGTGAAGTTTTCAAAAACCTCAGTTTCTGAGAAATAAAAGGGAAATGATTATGATATAGTCCATACTGCCTTTGTTCAGATGGCTTAACACAGCATCCACACAAGGAATGGCAGCTATCCCCTTTGTCAGGCATTGTAAAGATATAATCACAAATCATTGTATAGTATGATTTTAAAATAATGTAAATGAGAGAACTTCTGAATTTGAAAATGTCCTTGCCACGTGTTATATTTAAAGGACTTTCATAAATGTGCTCAATTATTGATTTATTTTGTTAGATTCAGAATTTCAAAAATGATTAACAAATACTTAAACAACAAAATGCAAACATAGCTTGAGTATGGAATACTGAAATGACAAAAAAAAGTGGTTTATTAGGCCGATCAAGGAATATCAAATGAATGTTTAATTTATTTTGAATTTTGGACTGTCACCATGTTTAAAATGACTTTTTTTTTTCAGGAGAGAAAGAGAGCAAAAAAGAAAGGAGGTATAAATGTAGAAAATGTTTCACAAAGTGATGGGGAGTAAGGGCTTGAACTTTCACTTTCATAATCATGAGTTCTATATCAGACGTACGCTTGTTTTTATTATGAATCAACTTAAGATATTGTCCTTTGAGCTTACACTGGACAAAATTCAGTGGTTTTAGTGGGTGACATTTTCCAAATGAGTCATAATTTGTTCCCAAGGTGGAAAGTACTGATAACTTGGGGCAATATTTAGAGTCAAGAGCATGAGCCCATGTTTTATGTCCATCTCTCTAGTTGAGCCAGTTGCTGGGCTGACATGTATCACTCAGACCAGAAAGCCAAGTCTTATTCCCTCACTTCTTCCTTATAAACCATCTAAAACAATGACAGCGTTTGGTTTGTCCAACTCTGTCCATCTCTGTATGCAGAAAGTCTTTCACATATAAATTTAATCTGACTTATCTGACTTGCTTATAATTCAGATTAAAATGTTATCTTTGACTGCTTTGCACACACCCATTTATTCTTCTTCTTGTTTATTTTTGCAATAGCTTCTTCAGCCTTTATAGATTTTTCCCCTGATGAGGACAGTAGTGGTTATGGGGGAAGCTTTTGGGCATAAAGGCTTTGAGGGTGCATTTCTTGGTAAGAATCTACATGCTATGGACATGGGTACAGGCCTGGTTGCTGTGTTGCTGTCCCTTTGTGAGGGCCTGGGTGAGAGATGCCCATGGCACTGATGTGATGCTGTCCTGCCCTCCCAGGGCCTGCAGCATGCCATACTTCTAGCCCTTCAATGCAGCCAAGATGCACATTATGAAGTCTCGTATTAGGATTTAGAATGTAATAAAAGGAAAAAAGCAAGGTTATGCGGTTGGAATGCTGGCCCTACTGTATTATTAGTCCATTTTCATGCTGCTGATAAAGACATACCTGAGACTGGGCAATTTACAAAATAAAGAGGTTTAATGAACTTACGGTTCTATGTGGCTGGGGAGGCCTCACAATCATGGTGGAAAGCAAGGAGGAGCAAGTCACATTTTACATGGATGGCAGCAGGCACAGAGAGAGCTTGTGCAGGGGAACTCCCCCTTATAGATCCATTAGATCTCTTGAGACTTATTCACTACCATGAGAACAGCATGGGAAAAACCTGCCCCAATGATTCAATTACCTCCCACCAGGTCCCTCCCACAACATGTGGGAATTTAAGATGAGATTTTGGTGGGGACACAGCCAAACCATATCACCTACTAAACAGACAGATTTTTGTGGATTTCTACTTATCTTTGTGGTTTTATGGTCATTATATATATTTGTGATGTTTACCTTAACATCACAAATTAAATTATGTATGTCTTTAGAAGTCTCCTTCTGGCTGGATGCAGTGGCCTATAATCCCAGCACTTTGGGAGGCTGAGATGGTCAGATCACTTGAGGTCAGAAGTTTGAGACCTGCCTGGCCAACATGGTGAAAACCCATCTCTACTAAAAATACAAAAAAAAAAAAAAAAATAGCCAGGTGTGGTGGCACACACCTGTAATCCCAGCTGCCCGGGAGGCTGAGGCATGAGAATCACTGGAGCCTGTGGGGTGGAGGTTGCAGCAAGTTGAGATCGCACCACTGCACTCCAGCCTAGGCAACAGTGAGAGACTCCATCTAAAAAAAAAAAAAAAAAATGGAGTCTCCTTCTGAAGGAGACTGATTAAGTCCAATATCTATCTGATACTACTTAAATGAGAATCTCTAAAAACTAAAGCAGAATGACGCATTTCATTCAGTACCACAGGGCCAGATCATGGATCAGACATGGGATATTCAGACCTGAAGTCTAATGTAATTTGGAGACACGAAATAGATGAAATCTTTACTACAGTGCGATTCTGAGAATAGCCCCTAACTTTACATATAACATGGTAAAGGGAAGAGTATAAGCCTAGGAATGGAAGTGTATTCAAGTAGGCTGTATTGTGGGCCAAGCAGAAGGTGAGTCCTTTAAGAAGAGAGCCTGCTCAATGGTGACTGGAAGTGGAATCAATGAGCTGTGAATTTCCCAGAGAGGTTTATGTGACCCTCTCTCACATGTTGGCTGCCAATCTCCTCTGCCTCCTTGCTGACCAAGCCCCACCTAGCAGCAGCAAGCCTTACCTGCGTGCCATGATCCCAGGAGCTTCCTTGTGCTTAGATGTACTGTCCGTTAATCAAACTCATGTTCTTCCTTCCAAACTCAGTTTACAGGCACGGTCATCTGTGAAAACTTCCTTGATCTTCCCCTTAAAATTCACTGTTTCTTTTTCTGCTCTTCTGTACTGTGTGCATGCCTATATTATAAATCATGCTTACTTCTTTTGCAATGCTTTGTTGATGTACCAACTACCTCACTATGGTGTTAGCTGGTTGAGGGCAGTTCCTGTCTTGTTCATTCTTGTTTTTCCTGGGTCCAGAACTCAACCAATAGTTACTGATAAAATTAATGATTCAAATGATTAATGATACATTTTATCCTTAGATTGCACAATAAATAATTACATTTGGCATGTTACAGAGATTTCTATGAAATGTCTTTCAATATGGATGTTTTCTTAAAATTGTTATTAATATAAATCTGTAAAAAGTATGACCAGAAAAAAATGAAAAGTGGCAAATTTTAACTTACCGTGATGTTTATATCATTTTAAGTATTTTTAGCAAAAGATAACAGGAGTTTTGAAAATGTGTATCTGACTCTACTAACTACCTTCTTAATTTATCATTAAGCTCTATTGATTGATTGATTGTGTCCCTAGGTGGGCTAGAAAATTTGATTTTTAGAACAGCATTTCAACAATGATGAGAAATTTTCTGACCTCATGTTAACTGAAGGTGGAATGACTGCATTGCTATGAGTTAGTAAGAAAAATATTTTAAATAGTTCTTAAGGTTTTCTTTTATTATAATAACTATTTTATTTCTTTTGATTGCTTTTGTTCAACATTCCAGGCTTGAATTCATCACTGTTTTTTAAAGTATACATATTAAAGCATATTTACATAAATATAAAGCACGTACATGCTATATAATTTATATATATACTTCATATGACCAAGGAAGTCCCCTAACATTAGTCATTTGGGAAAGGTGGAAAATGCATATAAGTGTTACCATTCTTTTTTTTTTTTTTTTTTTTTTTTTTTGAGAGAGGGAGTTTCGGTTTCACTCCTGTTGCCCAGGCCAGAGTGCAATGGCGTGATCTCGGCTTACTGCAACCTCCACCTCCCGGGTTCAAGTGATTCTCCTGCCTCAGCCTCCCAAGTAGCTGGGATTACAGCCATGCACCACCACGCCTGGCTAATTTTGTATTTTTGGTAGAGACGGGGTTTCTCCATGTTGGTCAGGCTGGTCTCGAACTCCCAACCTCAGGTAATCCACCCACCTCAACCTCCCAAAGTGCTGGGATTACAGGAGTGAGCCACTGCACCTGGCCTATGTTATTATTATTGTAGATTTAAGCTATTTGTTTAAAAATAGAGCAAAAAATAACTGAACCAAAAAAAAAAAAGGCCTCTGTGTCAATAAATGAGTAGCTATACATCACTCAGAGGAGGACTTAAACTTGTTTGATTTAAATGTTTCTTCTTGAATTGTGTGATTTTAACTGAAATTTTATCATACAATTGTAACATGAAAGATCATTAAGTCCACTAAAACAGTGTTTTAACACATGACGCCCATCTTTGTTGCTTGCTGTAGACCAATTGTATACAGTGAAGTCAAACATGGGCTAATGAGATAGAGTTATAAGTAGCACAAATTATGTCAAGCCACTCAGATTTCACAGATGGCTGTAGATAGGTAACTGTAAAGCATTAAGCTAATAAAGACAATTTTTAAGAGAAGAAAATAGGTGATAGGTTACTCCAGTTTTCAGCACATAAGCTATTGTAGATTAACATCCATCAGTCAAAAAGGGGTAATGTTTGAATGAATCATATATACCATATCAAGAGTATTCATCCGGTTGTGTAACCAGAAATATAATGGAATAATGTAGGTATTATCACATTATTAAAGCTTTGATATGCTCAAGTAACTATGGTAATACAGCAATAATAATTACTATTGAATGAAATATGGCTATTTCTTTCAATATATATGTATTTAATATATGATATATATTTATTATATTATGATATATGTCATCTATTTCTGATGTGTATAGATGATATGTATCGTATATTATATATGTATAGATGATATGTATCATATATATGTATAGATGATATGTATCATATATATGTATAGATGATATGTATCATATTTTATATATGTATAGATATGTATCATATATATAGATGATATGTATCATATTTTATATATGTATAGATGATATGTATCATATATATGTATAGATATGTATCATATTTTATATATGTATAGATGGTATGTATCATATATATGTATAGATGATATGTATCATATTTTATATATGTATAGATGATATATATCATACTTTACATAAAATATATATTTTATATATATATATATAAACGATAAGCTCACTGCAGCCTCAACCTTTTGGGCACAAGTGATCTTTTCACCCCAGTCTCCCAAATAGCTGGGACTACAGGCTCATGCTCCACACCTGACTAATATTATTATTATTATTATTATTATTATTATTATTAATTATTTTTGTAGAGACGGGGTTTCACTTAATTGCCCCGGCTGGTCCCCATTTCTTGGGCTCAAGAGATCCTCCCTTCTTGGCATCCCAAGGTTTTGGGATTGCAGGTGTGAGCCACCACACCCTACCTGGAAGAAATATTTTTTATTGTTTCAAAAGCTAATACCTGACAAAATACCTGCTTGTTTCCTGATACCTTTATGAGTCTCCATTTTATGCATTCGAAGATGAACATTTCTGGATTACTATTTTCTAACTTTCTTTTTAACGAAAAGACTTCCAGTTTTATGTTGAAATTTGATCATAACAATAATGGCCACCATACCCTCAGCTAGTAACTGGAGGGAGTTCCTAGCCACGTTGTCTCTCAATCGTCGCAAGTCTGCAAGGACTCCATTATCATCTTCCATTTACAAACGAGGAGACGTATACTGTTCTGTGTACACTACTGATTGACATATGTGTATGACCTAAATTTGTAAGAATGATTTCCAAAGACTTTGTAAGGAAGTCAGCCTCACCACTATAGGACAGACACATAAATATGGAGGCATATAATATTTTCATGTGGGGAAATAGAGAACTAATTTTATTTTTGAAAATAAAATTAATTTGGAAAATATGCTTCAGGTTAACCCTTGCTAATTTAATATTCTGGAGAGTAAATAGCTTCTAAACTCATAATTAAAGATTTCCCCTACTATGCTTCCGTGGGAACCAATGTGCATACAAATGAGAATCTATATCTATTTGGAGACACATTCTCAGTTAGGATACAAGCAGGAGACTTTCAGGAGAATGCATTACCCATTTTTAAGATTGAAAATTTTGTTCATAAAAATCAAATAATATCATTTAACATGTTTTCTTATGTCTTGTTTCTTTCACTTGAATGATTGATGTAAATGCCGTGAAATCAATGGACATGTCCTATAATTGATTGATTCCCTACAGTGGGGACTAGGATTCTTGGTCTCAACAAGTGTCTTTTCTATCCCATCCCGCTCCCATCAAAATGCTTTCACATGAACTATCTCTTTTCAGTTTAATTAGTTGAAAATAATTTTGCTGATTTATCTCATATTTTGCTTCTATGATGGAGATATAATTACCGGTGTTCTATTGTCCCTTTAGATATCCCCTCAACTATGTTATTTATCCCAACAAGGAAAATTTAAATGTAGGGGCAAACAAGCCTAGGAAAGGGAGCTACTTTTGAAGTAGTGGTTTCCACATCTGTTTTTTGAAGCAGAGTCTCACTCTGTCGCCCAGGCTAGAGTGCAGTGGCATGATCTCGGTTCAGTACAACCTCAGCCTTTCAGGTTTAAGTGAACTCTCGTTCCTCAGCCCCTTAAAGAGCTGGGATTACAGGCATGTGCCACTACACCTGGCTAATTTTTTTATTTGTAGTAAAGACAGGTTTCACCATGTTGGCCAGTCTGGTCTCGAATGCCTGGCCTCAAGTGATCCTCCCACCTTTGCCTCCCAAAGTACTGGGATAACATCTATTTTTTAATAAAGAAGATAATTATGATGTTGTGAAGTCATTTGAAATTCAAACATTAAATTATCTGAAAAGAAAGTCATGTTGTAGATGAGTTTAGTTTAAATATTTGAAGCCAGAGAATTCGAGTATTCTATTTATTCATTCAGCAAATATTTAGTGACCTCCTATGGTATAGCAGGCCCTGGGACTACAAACTATAGACAAAGTGCCTGTCCTTACAGAATTTACATTTCTAGGTAGCTGTTAGAGGTGGGTAGGGGCAGGATGTGTGGAAAGGCATAGAATGTGTGTGTGTGTGTGTGTATGTGTGTGCACGCACGCAGGCATGCAGAAAAAGAGTGATCATTAAATATATGTATACAAAAAAAGTAATAAATTTATTTTAAATGAAAGCAGCTCCTTTTTTATAGCAAAATTGCATTCAACTTTTCTAAAGCATAGTTTGAGATTACAAAATTTGACATTTTTACTCACTAAAACATCATATTTTGATCATTACTAAAAATTAAGTTTTTGATAAAATACCTATTGTAATTTTAAATTGGTTCATGTATTTCTTTCTTTTTTTTTTTTTTTTTTTAGATGGAGTCTCACTCTGTTGCCCAGGCTGGAGTGCAGTGGTGCAATCTTGGCTTACTGCAACCTCCACCTACCATGTTCAAGCAATTCTCCTGCCTCAGCCTCCCGAGTAGTTGGGACTACAGGCACGTGCCACCATGCCCAGCTAATTTTTGTATTTTTATTAGAGACGGGGTTTCACCATATTGGCCAGGCTGGTCTCAAACTCCTGACCTTATGATCCTCCCACCTTGGCCTCCCAAGGTGCTGGGATTACAGGCGTAAGCCACCGCTCCCAGCCCTGGTTTATGTATTTCTAATCACTTTTTAAATCATTCTAAAATATTTGTAGGTGTTGTAGAATCTAAAGGAAAAATCCTCAAGATTATTTTGTACATCATCAGATTGCACTGAAGAGTGGTTATGAGGGATGATGGGGGCCAGAAAAATGTGAGCACTCTGAGACCTAAAGGGGAAAAAATTGTTGCCCTTTCACCAAAGGAAGAAAAGCAACTCCCAGTTTTTTGGTTCTTTGATTAAAGTTTAAGTCTTCTCTGTGCTGAAACATGGAGTCACATGGAAGTGTTCAGCTTTTATTATTTAATCACATGGAAGTTTGGTTGTGGAACTACAGTCATTGATTCATAAACATTACCGTATTAGAAATAATATGGGATGTGCACTTGAGACCTTGTGACAAAATGAGGTAGAAGGTGGGACTCTGCTTCAGAGGCAGGGCTCAGACACCAGAACAATGAGGACTTGCTAAAACAGGAATGGGGCAGAAGCAGCTTTCCATAAGGCACGCCAGCAGTGTGCTGTGTCAGTTTACCGTTGCCACGGCAATGGTTACTGCCTCTTTCCATGGCAATGACTGGCAACCCAGAAGTTACTACCCATTTCCTAGGAATTTGTGCATTAACTGCCCCTTAATCTGCATGCAATTAAAAGTAGGTATAAATATGATTAAAGAACTGCCCTGAACTGCTACTCTATGCTTATGGGGTAGCCCTACTCTGCAGGAGCAGTCACAAAGCTGTAATGCTGCCTCTTCAACAAAACTGTTTTCCTCTACCCTACCACCAGCTTGCCCTTGAATTCTTTCCTGGGTGAAGCCAAAAACCCTCATGTGCTAAGCACCAAGGTGGAGCTCACCTGTCCTGCATCAAAAGGAACAGTTCAAAAATTGGAAAAACTGTCAGTCATGCACCGTGCTGAGATGGTTTTCGAACTAGAAAGTAAATCAATCATTTTTAGTGATCTTTGGAGGCAATATAGTGATCTCTTTATTAAGCTCAGCCAGTAAATAGGTATCAAACTCTGTTTACTACGTTGCAATGATAGACAAAGTAGTCAATTCTTGCTGGAGGAAATGAGAAACATTAACTACGCATGTACCTTTAAAAATATTTTCTTTTCTTTCCATGAAGCACAGATTCATGTTTGAAAACTTTTTACTGTTAGGTTCTCTGAATACATGATTTTGGTGGCTTTCCCAAATCAAGATTATTCAATTTTCTTGCCATTGATGTAAAAATCAATGCTTAATACACACGTGAGCCACAGAATATTTTTGGAGTCATTCCTGACAATTTATGTCTCATTTTAGCTTTTTTAAAAAATATATAGATTCAAAAAATAATGTAGTCAAATGATATCGTCTCATGGTTTTTTTGACAATGGGACAACACAGTGTTGAGGTAGAGAAACACAAGTAGTGTCTCAAGATTAAGTTGCCCTTTTTTTCCACTACTTCACATGGAAAGCAAATATAAAAAGATGTTTGCCAAAGTGAAAATTGTTGACAAGAATTGTTGGGTTTCTACCCAAAGTACTAACAACCTGCAAAATGTAGCACACTAAAAATAGAGTAATTAAAGCTCCAGTTCAATTCCGATACTTCTAATACTAAGCCTGTTAAAGTACATTAGACAGATTATTGTAATGACAGGGGCCTCCTCAAGTTAGGAATACATCCACAGCTTCCACACAGAGGAGGCACATAAAATAAGTTGCAAGACAGAAATGGTAAAAATGTATGACAAAAAGAAACCACTATTTATAAAGAGTTCCAATTGTTAGTTCATTTCAGCTTTATTATTAACTCTCCCTAGGAGAGTCACACAAAGCAGCATACATAGAAGAAAGCAAATGCGTGTTCGTTAAATGGAGTTGAATTGAATTGAATGATGCTTCTACGTATTTATTTTTGGGGACATTAGTTACAAGCTTAGAATAAATAAATAAAATTTTTTTAAAAATTTTAAATAGTAACTGGATCTTGGACTTTAATTTCATTCTTTCATTCATGCATGGGGCTAAGAGACCCTCCAGGGCTCTGCTGAGAAGTGTAAAAGCCTACTTAAGTAGGCCAGAGAGCTATCTTCTTTTGCTCTGAATCTGTTTGCCTGTGAAGTTGATCAAGGCAACGTGATTGCATTGCTCCTGACACCTCTACTTCTGTGCTCAGCTGGCTGCTGAATAAAACTAATCTTTACATCTGAGTTCTCTGTCAGTGTGATTCAAACCTCCTTTAAAACTGTCTTCTTTGCCTTGCCATGACTACTATGTGGCTCTGAGGTTTTCTACTTCAACTATGGCAATAAATATTTTAATGGTCTCTCTGACCATCATTACTCCCTTCTGGTAATCATTCCCCTTGGCATTGGAGACTACTCTAACACACCTCTGAGTATTTTATTCTCTGTGTAAATGTCTCTCCCTTTGCCTCAAGATTAAAATCCAGACACTTATTTTATTTTATAAGTTTCAGGGTACATGTGCAGGATGTGCAGGTTTGTGTTACATGGGTAAATGCGTGGCATGGTGCTTTGCTGCACCTGTCAACCAATCACCTAGGTATTAATCCTGGCATGCATTAGCACTTTTCTCTATTGTTCTCCCCCACCGCTCCACCGTCCCCCAACAGGACCCAGTGTGTGTTGTTCCCCTCCCTGTGTCCACGTGTTCTCATTGTTCAGCTCCCACTTATAAGTGAGAACACATGGTGTTTGGTTTTCTGTTCCTGAATTAGTTTGCTGAGGATAATGGCTTCCAGCTTCATCATGTCCCTGCAAAGGACATGATTTGTTGTTTGTTAGGGCTGCATAGTATTCCATGGTGCATATGTACCACATTTTCTTTATCCAGTCTATCATTGATGAGTACTTGGGTTGATTCCATGTCTTTGCTATTGTGAATAGTGCTGCAAAGAACCTACATGTGCATGTATCTTTATAATAGAATGATTTATATTGCTTTGGGTTATATACCCACTGATGGGATTGCTGAGTCAAATGATATTTCCAGTTCTTAATCTCTGAGGAATCACCAGATGTCTTCCACAATGGTTTAACTACTTTACACTCCTACCAACAGTGCAAAAGCATTCCTATTTCTCTGCAACCTCACAAGCATCTCTTGTTTCTTGACTTTTTAATAATTGTCATTCTGACTGGCATAGAATGGTATCTCATTGTGGTTTTGATTTGCATTTCTCTAATGATCAGTGATGTGTTTTTTTCATATGGTTGTTGGCTGCATGTATGTCTTCTTTTGAGAAGTGTCTGTTCATGTCCTTTGTCCACTTTTTAATGGGATTGCTTTTTGTAAGTTTGCTTAAGTTCCTTGTAGATTCTGGATATTAGACTTTTGTCAGATGGATAGATTGCAAAAAGTCCAGACACATTCTGAATGGGAATAAAAAAACTTTCCAATGTCTGATTTCAAGAAATTCTCCAAACTCATATCCAGCGACACTCTTGTATTCACCTAACATACACCTTGTGTTTAAAATTGAATCTCGCATTTCAGCTTAACCTTGACCATATAGAACACATTTTCCCTAATTGCTTACTTTCATTCAAGAATATTTAATTGAATGCCAACAACTGACAGCCGGAACTTGGGCAGCATCCTCCACAGTCAAACGTTCTAAGCTCTTTTGTGTGACTGGGCTGGCCCATGTTCTCTTTTCCTAGAATGCCTTTCCCTCTCTACCTGGAAACTGTCTACTCATCCTTTAATATACAGGTCAAAAGTTTTTGCCTTATGTAAGAATTATGAGTCACCTGAGTCAACTTCTTGCTTTATTTACTAAGTATTTAGCAAATAAAACTGAAATCATCTACTTTATGTTTATTCTCCTTTCCCTAACTGGTCTCTGAGCTCCTCTTGCATATGTATTGCTGATTTTCCTTTGTTACCCTAGATAGAAGCTTTCACAGGAAGGGCACCTGGAGGATACTCCATAAATATGGACTAAGTGAATTTTTGTGCCCAAAAACATCTAGGGTATCTGCCAGTCCTTTTCCACCAATATGCACTTCCTTAACCACTGACATAAGCTTTTGCTAGACTTGTAATAAGTATAACACAAATGTTTTGCACAACAGCCATCTCTTATCACTTTCCCTTTCACTTCCTTTCTGTAAGTCTATGAGTCTTATAAACTGTGAAAAGGTCATACTAGCAAAGCAGGCTGTCTCTATTATTCACAGTCTATAGGAGCTATTGGTAACCAGTTGATGCTGTGAGCCTGAGTCAGGATCATATTTCTTGGGTTCATCAGTTTATTTGTCCAATCTGAGAATCTCTACAGTGTACTTCCTAAAAGTATGTTCTGACATGCCCTTGAGTACTTAAATCCTTGTGTTTAAAATTGAATCTCTCATTTCAGCTTAACCTTGACCATATAAAACACATTTTCCCTAATTGCTTCATTTCAGTCAAGAATATTTAATCGAATGCCAACAACTGACAGTTCAACCACTACATCAAACTTTAAACCCAAATTCGGAGGGGCTAATTTTTAAAATATCAAATATGCCTCATAAGATTTCAGGGAAAGTTAGGACGAATTTCAAGAGAGAGCCTGATGATGGCTTTAACCTCAAAACTAAGACATTATTGTTAGTTGCGAGAAGCTGGCCAATATTTCTTGTACCTGAATTGATTAAATTGTTACATGTTATTAGATGATGGTGACAACCTACAACTTGTTAAGGATACATAGTGCGTTAATTGTATAACTCCACATCTACATAACACTATACCACTGGAGTTATGGAATTAATGCCCTGTCCAGGATCTTACCCTTCTTGTTATCGCAGGACCCAATTCTTGCACAATTGATCATTTCCAAGGTGTTATCAAAATTAACCTTTAAGGTGAAACAATACATTGTATGGCTATTGTCCATTTATTTTGGCATTGACCGCAGTAGATGTCACATTGCAATTTTTCAAATAAAATTCAGAGTGATAGATGGACTAACTACATACCACTTATTCATAATAAAATATACAAATGATGAAGTATGGCATTTTGTGTGCAAAATTATCTGGGGCAAAAAATATATGTGTGTAAAACACAGGAAAAAGTATTGAGAAATTTGTGTTTGATAAGTATTTTTAAATACCACTATTTAGGCAAATTAATTAGAAAATATATCAATACTTTCAGATTCTCAGTAACTTTACAATAATGTTAGGAAATTAAGTGAAATATTGTTAAAGTATTTTTGCTACATCTTTCTTTAGTGTCTTCAGCTGTTTTATTGCAACTCATACGCTGATGTTTTTTAATGATATTTCTTTTTATGGTCATTAATTTTTCCATATGTTGTAATCTTAAAAATACAAAAAATGCAAAAACAATACAAAACACCTATAATCTCACCACTGAAAAACTCCAAAGTAATTCTTACAAATATTTTTATACTTTAGACTTAGGTAATTTATATATTTGCACAAATGTGTGATCACATTCCTCATACCTCTTCATAGTATAACAATACATTCCCATTTTTACATTTCTCTAAGTATTATTCTAAAATATACTTCCAAGGATACGTAACATTGTATCGTATGAATGTACCAAAATTTATTTATCCCATATTTAGTTTCTTTTCATTCATTCTGTATTGCAACTTTAAATATATATGTGTGTATATATATATATGTGTGTGTGTATATATATATCCTGGCATGTAAATCTTTGACTGTGTCTGGGTCCATTTTCCCCATATGTCAGCTCCATCCGTGACCCCTAAAATTCAGGTTCCACACAACAAGGATGACATCTTTACTTGAATGCCTAACAAGTGGCTCTAAATTAACATGTCCAAAACAGAACTCTAGGTTTTCCCACACCTCCCCCAAACTTGTTTCTCCCCCATCTGTCTCATCTCCCTTTCCCAGGCTTCACTCCTTCCCCAGATCTAGGCAAAAGCATAGGTGTTATTTTCCTCCTTTCTTCATTCCCCACATTCAGTTCCTTAGTCGGTTTTATTGAATCAGTCTCAGAACACATCCCACATCTGCCTCCTTCTTTGTGACTCTGCAGGCACCATCTGGTTCATCTCAACTTGCCTGGACCAGTGTAGGTAGTAACCTTTCACCTGTTTTCCGCAGGACCACTCTTGTGCTGTCCTTAATCAGTTATCTGCAGAGTCATGATGTGATTGTCCAAGACAAGAAATTCAGTTAATGTCACATGACATTAACGTAACATAACACTCCTTTGCTTAAAATCCTACAGGGGCTTTCAAAATACCTTAATAAAATCTATACTCTCATTTGTGGCTTGCGGAGCCCTGTATGGCCATTGCCCAGAAGTTCCCCTTCATCTCGTCTCACCTTCCTCTTTCACTACATATGTAATCTACCAGACTACCTTCTCCTGGTCCTCGTGGGCTGAGATGCTATTTTCTCAGATTATGGTTGCCTCCTGTTTTTTATTCAAGATTCACTGGAAGTTCCATCTCCTCTTAGCAGCTTCCTGCCTATTGACTATGAAATGAGCACCCTCATCGTTCTTAAACAGAGCTTTACATTTTCTTCTCTTCATAAAGAATATTATATATTAAGAATAGATAATAGTAATAGTATCTATTAATAGATACTATCAATATCTATAACAGATAATCAAAAGATTGTTAATATTAATACCATCTATTAATAGATAATATTACTGATAATTAATAATTGTTTATCATATATTTCCTCATTAGCATGTAAACTCTATGAAAAGTAGAGAAAATACCTGGACTCTTGTTCACTTTCTTCTCAGAACCTAGAAATGTCCTTATCACATAGTAGACACTAAATATTTACTAAATGAAAAAATATATCCTTGAAGATTTACTAGTATAAATGGTGTAAACAGAATTTCTTGGTGAAGAAAAATTTTTAGGTTTTTGCCTTATAATTTACCATCTCCATCCTTCCAAGATACCAATTTTCTTTCCCGTCGTCCATTGTACGGGAGGGCCAAGGTTGCTGCACCTGCTGGCCAACCTTGCATACGTAAATTTTGTTTTGACGGTTCAGGATACAATGTTTGACAATTGTTTTAATTGTCATGTTGGCATCTACTAATGAGGCTAAAACATTTTGAAATTTAAGACATCTTTCTCGACAGCAACCACAATCATTTCTGATCAGTCCGTGCAGGCCATGTGTACCTGATGACTTCTGAAACAAAGGGGAAGGGGAAGGGAGGCATGTGTTAGAGACAATACCCAGTTATCTGTGTTTACACTTCAGTATTCGCACATTTCAAGTCACGTGATCCCTCATAACAACTTTACAAAATGGATAAGAGATATCCCCCTTTTTTCAGATAAAGAGCTGGCTTCTGAAAGGTTATGCATCGTGGAGCTAATAAGTTATAGAACTGAAATCTAAACTCGTGGCTGGTGGATGCCAAAGCCCAAACTGTTAACACTTCACCATAAAAATAAAAGGATTGTCTCTATCATTTCTATCATTCAAACTTCCTGAGACTTAATGGTAAAGTTTTCATGTATTTCCTGGATAGTAGTGTTCTATTTAGATGATGATGATGATGATTATTATTATTATTATTTTTAAAGCGTTGGGTCAGGCTTGGTGGCTCACGCCCATAATCCCAGCGCTTTGGGAGGCTAAGGCAGGTAGATCATGAGGTCAGGAGTTCAACACCAGCCTTGTCAACATAGTGAAACCCCATCTCTACTAAAAATACAAAAATTAGCTGGGCGTGGTGGCTGACGCCAGTAATCCCAGCTACTGGGGAGGCTGAGGCAGGAGAATCACTTGAAACTGGAAGGTGGAGGTTACAGTGAGCCGAGGTCGCGCCACTGCACTCCAGCCTGGGCAAAAGAGTGAAACTCTGTCTCCAAAAAAAAAAAAAAAAAAAAGGTGTTATTCATTTTAGACAGGACTTATGTTTTTCACCATGTAAAGAAAAATGTTACAGGTAGCGAAATGGAATAAACTGAAATTCATCACGTATATAGGCAAAGAAACAGTACACTGCTGTTGGAAGTTTCAACAAACCTTTTATTTATGCCATTAATATAATCATTATTATAATTCACACAGATGGGATTTATATTATCCTCTAGAAATGTTTACAGCTTCAGAGGTTTCACTGCCTTCTCAAGAAGAACAATGTTTTCTTTATTCTGAAGTTGGTGTAGGGCAACAAGGAAAGAGACCAAGAGATACATCCAGGTGCACATTTTTTTCTCTTAGTTTATATAATCAAAATTTGTTTGTTTCTAAGAATAAGGAGATCATCACAGAAATGGTTTACCCCAAGTCAGGAAGACAAGGTCAGCTCAGAGTGGGCATAAAATTGCTTAAAGCATCTCAGATAGCTAATGTAATAGTGATTTATCAGAATGTCCCTAAAATGACCAATATTTGGGGACAGTAAGAATGGCTAAAGCTTAAAAAAAATGTAAAAGAGGCTTGAGTTACCTTTCTACTGGTTCTCCAAATATATGATATTTTCATTGTTGCTATTTTTAAATCTAAAAGATTTTTCAATAATCATGAAGAATTCCAAATAGGTTCACAGAATCTAGATTTTTTTTGTTTGTACTACAGCAGCGATTTGTTTCAAGAGAAGGAGACAAAATTTCAATGGAAAAGTTGTGCTTTGTGAATTTAGTTAAAGAGATGTGGATGTAATGAACCAAGGGGTCTCTTTATTTATGGTTACTCTGCAGAGGTAAGTACTCATCTGACGAGAGGCTATTTGTAGGAAGCTAATTTAGAGTAGAAACAAATAGTTGTGAAAAATGAGGAAATCCTGCTGGGAAAAAAAAGTGTGGCAGGATCACATGAAATAAGAGTTTTGGAGTAATTTACTATTCTAGGAAATCCAGCAGCTGGTTTGTCTAAAGAGTTCCTCTTTTTCATGAACACTGGAATAAGGACAGGAAATGGTTCAAAAGCATGCTGCCTTTCCTGTAACAGATTTCTGTAAAAATTTAATAGCAAAAAATAATTTTTAGAAGCTCAAGATTTTGATGTTTCCGAGATTCTTTAATGAGACAATGTGTGTATTTCTAACTTTGGTTACTTAGAAGTTTTGGTAGAATGAAGAATTTTGAATAAAGATAAGAGGAAACAAATTTCTGTTTATGTCATTCATAAAACATGTACGGTATTGAATTCAAAACTTAGTTTTACAGAGTGATGAAAATTTTTATCTAAGCATTGAGAAAATAATAAACCTAATGTAAAGTAGAACATATATTACATTTTGTAAAACTGCATTTAATTCTTCCAAATAAGGAAATAGAGGAACTGATGCAAATAAGAGATAAGATATCCAAAAGATAAGAGAACTGGAATGGAAAAAGTAAGCATGCTTAAATCACGCAATTTAAAATTATATCTAGAGGGAGCCTGGAAGAATATTTTAATGGAGTTAATTACCTGCGTGAGGATTATCTTTTGTATTTTAATTATCCCAATATATTTAAATGTAATCTCTTTATTAAGTATCACAAAGAAAAACATTTCTATTTTTCTGGGTACAGAGAAACTAATTATTCCATTCAAAATACTACCTAAGGGTTTAAAACTATTTTCCTGTCTCGTGGTTATTAATAGAACCATATATCTTAACCACTGCAACCAACTATAGTTTTTAGGTAACAAATTGTATTTTTCATTGGAATTTTTGCCTTTTTCTTACCCCACAGTCATTAAGGAGACACAGCTAGGAAAAAGTATGTGAAAACACTTTTAAGGGTATACACTATTCAGATAAGATTCTCCTTGATCCTAAATTGCACTTGAAGTTTGGAGGGAAAAAATAATAAAATGCCATGTACTTATTTCCTATTGCAACTCTAACAAAAGACCACAAACTTGGTGGCTTAGAATGGCAGAAATTTATTCTAACAGATATGGAGGACAGAGGCCAAAATCAAGCTTTTAACAGGGCTGTGCTGTCCCCGGAGGCTCCAGGGGAGAATCCTTTCCTTGCCTCTTCCCGCTTCTGGTGGTTGTGGCGCTCCTTAGCTCCTGACTGTGTCACTCCAGTCTCCGCTTCCATATTCAATATTGCCTTCTCCCCTATGGGGCGGGGTCAGATCTCCCTCTTATGAGGATACACGTGATGACCATCAGGGACCACTTGGATAATTCGGGATAATCTCCCCACCTCAAGATCCTTAGTTAATTACATCTGCAAAGACCCTTTTTCCAAATAAGGTTAACATTTATAGATTCTAGGGATTAGGATCCTGGATGGGCCCTAATAATTAGGACCATGATTCATCCTACTACTTGCTGCAACATATAGTATCCGATTCTCAAGTAGCTTTAAATCTACTGCAGTATGAGGACTATATTGGAATGTAGGTGCTAACTAGAGTTAAATATAATCAAAGTTGCTGTGACTGTAATAGTTCAGGAGGGAAGGTATTTTGGGTGAAAATAATGGCTCTTTACCCCAGATGCTGCATCTGGTCTCAATTATTGAAGTCATACTATGAAACTGTGTTGTTCTGTGCTAATTAAACGTAGGAATTAATTTTTAAATGTTTCGGCAAAAATAGATTTCTTTTATTAGGAATTTATTTTTTAAGATTTATTGACATATTTTACTTAAATTGTCCTTGTGATCTATATTGGAAGCAGTTTAGAATAGTTGCATTTAGTCTTTTTAAAAGTTTCACAATTAGATGAATAATTCTCTTTGTTTTGTTTCTGGTTATAATTTTCTTCACCTTCAGGCAATTTGTTAACATGGTGAAGTAATTAAGAAAATAAAATAACACCTCTGATCTGGTCTTGTTTTATATCACTTCCAATAGAGAAAATGATATATGTTAATATATGTTAAAACACCACATGAGAAACATGAGCAAAATGATTTTCACTGAAAGCATCTTTTTTCTTTTTTTTTTTTTTTTTTTTTGAGACAGGTCTCCCACTCAGTTGCCCAATCTGGAGTGCAGTCGTGTGATCATGGCTCACTGCAGCCTTGAGCTTCTGGGCTCAAGTGGTCCTCCTACCTCAGCCTCCAGAGTAGTTGGGACTACAGGCATGTGCCACGATGCCTGGCTGTATTTTTTTTTTTAAGTATAGACAGGGCTTGCTATACTGCCCAGGCTGGTTTCAAACTCCTAGGCTTAAGCAATTCTCCCGCCCTCTCTCCTAGCGTGCTGGGATTACAGGCGTGAGCCATCACGCCCGGCCTCCAAGCATCCTTAATTTTGATTCAGCAGCATGTCTGCAAGAGCAGACCAAGCTATAGATATTAATGTGAATCCGGAGATTATGTCATTGTATCTGTTATTACGTTAACCAGTTTAAGTGAATTACCAATGTCCAGCAAGACATTACTCACTTTGGAATGCATTCCACTGGCAATTTATCATGGTAATAGGAGGTAGCAAAGGCATATTAGTTCCTTAAGTGGCAGCAATTATACCTGCTAATGGAAAGGGAAAATGTTGTTATTAAAACACATTATATCTTTTGTATCAGAGTTGTTCAGCTTTCCTAGATGTCTAGTTTTAGTTCCTTTTGATTCAAGCTCTTCTGTGTATGTTTATTTCCTTTCAAGAATCATTGAGACCCGGGTTAATTATTTAATTTTTATCTTATATTGCTGTCAAATGCTTTGGGTCATTAATTCTCTAAGAAATGTGAAGAATTCTACACATATAAGTTTGGAGGGAATTTTGAGGCATATTCTTTGACTCAACTTTCATGGGGAAATGTTTCTAGTTCAGTGTTGAGGTTTAGGCCCTCCAGCACTACCACGCGGAGCTGATGCAGACAAAGTTGGCTTTCTCCTGGTTACAAATACAATTCCTTTCACTGATCACAAATACATATTAATATGATGTGTCTGGGTGCCAGTGTATTCAAAATGATAAATTCATAGATTCTTTGCAGAAATTTACCAAATTAGAGTTAAATTATTTGGATCTGGATCTTTATTTCATAATGACCAGAATTGCTTATTCTAAGAAAACCATCATTGTGTTTGAAGGATTGAATGGAGCAATCATAGATTTTATAATTATCTCAAGAACTTAATACAATTTTATGATTGCTCTTTCCAAACCATAAACAAAATTGCAATTACCCTATTGAAAATGTTTAAGAATTACTGTTATGGGCTGTTTAACCTATCTATTAACCTATCTAGAACCTCATTAAAACTGGTAAGCTGGTGCGGTGGCATGCACCTGAATGTCCCAGCTATGGAGGCTGAGGTGGGAGGATCACTTGAGCCCAGGGGTTCAAGTCCAGTCTGGGCAACACAGTAAGACCTCATCTGAAAAAAAAAAAAAGCACAAATCCAAACACTGGTAAGCTCTCCTTGGGCACCTGATTTCTAATTTCAGAAAACAACTTGATAACATCCTATGTGATGCAGTTAACATTTTCTTTCTCAATATGCTGATACATTACTTCCCAGAATGATAGATGCATTTTTTTCTCAATACAACAATACGGTAGATATGCAGGGTAAAAAAACACATTTATTTTGACTGTAACCTACTGGTTTTAGGTAACAACTTATAGAATTTATCTTGAAGCAATAATTAAAACAGTGCCTCAGGTACTCCTCATTCTCTGGGGAAAGGATTGGTCTGAAACCACCTTCTACCCCCACAGGTCAAAATTATATATCGGTGTGTGAAGGTGAGTGTGTGGCTTCCATTATGTCCTGAAGCATGGAGAGCACATTATTGGGCAAGAGGGCCTTCTGGCTGTTTCCTTTGGGCTCCAGGATGCTGCCTTTCCCCATTTCCCTGCACTTGGCTGGTTTGTGTTGAAGACTGAGACCTGGCTTTGTAGTAACATAGAGACTGCTCTGTTTGGGCATGGTTGGAGCTTGTTTGGTGGCTTTCTCTGGCTGCCTCCACCTCTCTGGTTCCTGCTGGTGGGTTCTCTCTAGGCCCCAATAAGGTCTGCACTTTGTCCCATTTGGCTCCTACTAGGCTCTTCTCTGAAGGCCTCCTCTGGCTAGTCTCCTGGCAGCCTGTCAGACACTTCAGAGCCTGTTTCCACCTCACAGCAACTGAGGGAGGTCCAGGAAGTGCCGGCTGCAGAGCAACCCCCACTCAGCCTCCTGGACAGCCAGGTTCAGTTTCATATGGTGGCTATCCTCCAGGCTGGTGTGGGTAGCCTCTTTCTAGAGTCCTGAGTGGAGAAGGAGGGCAAAGGCCCAGTAATATGGTTTGGCTGTGTCCCCATTCAAATCTCATCTTGAATTGTAGCTGTTATAATTCCCACCTGTTACGGGAGGGACCTGGTGGGAAATAATTGAATCATGGGAGTGGTTTCCCCCATACTATTCTTGTCTTAGTGAGTAAGTTTCACGAGATCTGATTGTTTTATAAGGGGAGACCCTTTTCGCTTGCCTCTCATTCTTTTGTCTGCCACCATGGAAGACATGCCTTTCACCTTCCACCATGACTGTGAGGCCTTCCCAGCCACGTGGAACTATGAGTCTATTAAACTTCTTTTTCTTTATAAATTACCCAGTCTCGGGTATGCCGTGATCAGCAGTGTGAAAACAGACTGATACACCCAGCTTTGCTTTAGTGATTCCCTCTGCTTCACCCTACCTTCCCATCCCAGGGACAATGTGAATAGAAGAAAAAATTAGACATATATCCCCTTACCCTCAGCCTCCTCTGCTCTTTTTCCTCAGCCTCCTCTGCTCTTTTTCCTCAGCCTCCCCTCTTCTTCCATCATCCATTCTCCAGGACCCACAAAAGGGCAGCTTTTCCTAGATCCTGTACTGCCTCTGGATGCAAGCATGATAAATAATCCCCAAGGAAGAACAGGGACAAGGTCTCTACTCACTGAGAGAACTCTGGGCTGTGACCCACCTGCTTAATTAACTCTTGATAAAGCAGATGACAACAACTGGAATTCAGCAAATCCTTTATATATAATGCCTACCTCTCAATATCTCTTTCTAAACATAATCAAGTTTTCTAGTTTGTTGTTATTTTTTTCCCACTTTCTGCCCTTAGAAGAAAGAGAAAGGTAGTGTTGGGACAGAATTAAAGGAGGAAAAGTGGAATCCATTGCTTTAATACTTTTACAATCACATTATCCCTAATATTTAAATATTTATGTGATAAGTGTATACATGCACATGTAAATATAATATTCCTTCCCCATGTTAGCTATATGACAATAAGAAAGTTCTTTAATTCTGTTTGCTCTCTCTAAGATATGGATGTAAAAGTACATACCTCAAAAGATTGTTTTTAAAAATGGTAAATGGTGTTTAGTATGTACAATGACAGATAAAGCTTTCAAGATCTCTAAAGATACAAGTCTTCTAATGATCTTTTTTGACTTTGAGTGACTTACTTCACAAATCAGGCCCCATCAACTCATCATATAATGACTCAGATGGCTGCTAAGAAAACCAATCATAAAAACTTTCATAATTATGGCAAACTGAGAAAAATTTAAATACTGCGATAACACAAATTAGTAGGAAATACATTTATGTATTTTCAGTAAGTTCGTTGTGTCAGTCAATTTGCAGAATTCCTTGGAAAGTGATCATATCTTTTGGAGTTTAAGATATCCATTCTTCCTTCCACTATAAGCTCTGAATGTAATATGAAATAAGAAAAAGTAATTGAAAAATAACAAAGCAAAACATCACCCTTATAATAAGTAAAGCTGAAGTAATAAAATGTTGGTTTATGTCAGTAGTGAAGTAAGTTTCCTGATACTGAAATTCTGAATTGGATGGCAAAGCTGGACTGGGTCAAGTGTCTCCTTGCAGTGGGGGAGTCTGGTCATAAATGTCTGGAATGAAGGTGCACAGAGGGCATCCCAGACTTTAGGCACAAAAGATTTGAATTTTAAGATGATGTCTGTAGATATATATGATTTATCCCACTGTGGTATTTCATTGATATAACTGAATTCTGAAGATGATTCTCAAGTAGGCTACCCATTCCCTTCTGAGGAAATCAAAAGGGATATTTATGTTTTTTTAAAAAACAGCAACAACAACAACAAAAGAAAGTTCAGGGTGATTGATATGGTTTGGCTCTTTGTCCCCACCCAAATCTCATCTCAAATTGTAATTCCCATAATCCCTGTATGTCGAGGGAGGGTCCTGGTAGGAGGTGATTGGATCATGGGGGCAGTTCCCCCATGCTGTTCTTGTGACAGTGAGTGAATTATCATGAGATCTGATGGTTTTATAAATGGCAGTTTCCCCTGGGCTTTTCTGTCCTTCCTGCCACCTTGTGAAGAAAGTGCTTGTTTCCCCTTCATCTACTGCCATGACTGTAAGTTTCCTGAGGTCTCCCCAGCCATGTGGAACTGTGAGTCAGTTAAACCTCATTCCTTTGTAAATTACCCAGTCTCGGGTATTTCTTTATAGCAGCGTGATAACCAACGAATACAGTGATGCTTCTAAAATGAAATGGTCAGGAGCCCTTGCTCTCCCTGGTGGAAGTAGTAGAGCTGTGATAGATATGGAAAATCTCTTTCTGTTATTTTCTCATGTTTGTTACTAACATCAACTGCCCTAGTAGTTTATGAATGGCCAGTTTGTTGGTGTACTCAAATCTATACTAATGCTTGCAGATTGGTTTTATTTGCTTGCAGCTGAGCATTGATTACGGCCATTGTTTCAAATAACTGACAGCCGAGAGTGCTTTACAAATCAAAACGATGAAATGGTACAGGATGGTCCCTTAAATTATATAGTCTGCTCAAAAATGTGAGGGAGTTTAATGTTAAACTCCCAAAAGAAGTAAGTGACTGAGAGGTCACCGTAGTTCATGGAGCACCTTTACTAGATGATCTGAATGACTAGCTTTGAGATGGAGTAAAAATATTTCCATTCCCCTCCCATCTAGAAAATCACTGGCAAACAAAAACAGCGAGAAGTAAACACAAACTCCATCTTCACTGATACTAGAAGATAGCAATAACTCTGGGGAAATGGGAAGAGGAACAGGTGCTGGATTAAACACAGGCTTACATGTAAGTCTGCAGAGTGAACTTTGAGACTCCTGTGCCCAGCTGCCTTCCCTGCCAGATGACAAAAGCTGGCGGCAATAGTGAGGCTGGGGGAACTTTATCTGGATAACCCGAATCTACCCAGAGAAATGACATCATAATAATGGAGATTAAGTGGCTGCCAGTTAAAAAGGTGACCAGGCCCAAGATCACCTTGTAATGCAAAAGTGGACAAGCATCACCTTCCCACTACACCTTCCAACCAGCTTGTTAGGGCCTGGCCTATAAATAAGAACACCCAAGTTAGTGCAGAGAAAGTTTCTGGGAAGTATTTTAGCAAGGAAACAGTGCAAAAAATATTTCCCAGAACTAGAAGATAGGAGTTTCCAGATTGAAAAGACACGCTGACTGTCCAGCACTTCAAATGAATTCAAATCCACACTGAGGTGCACAGCTGTGAAATTGCAGAGCTCTTTGGAGCCCAGATTGTTTAGTGTAGAGCAGTCTTGGAGATGCATATATCCTCCCTTATACCTCTGGGACCCATTAGGGACACTGACCTGTTTTAAGATGGTTGGATCAGGACAGAGTCACCACCAGCTGTCCCTTTTTCTGGGAGTAACATTCCCTGTGGCCCTTACAGCACTGTGCATTGTCAAACACTGCATTGGTCCATCTTTTATTCTCACAGTGATCTCCGTCTCCTGCACGTCATTACACTCTCGTGTGCCCAGTCAGCATAGTCCCAGCACATCAGAGAAGTCTCCACTATGTCCAACTCCAAATGAAAGGGGCCAGAGCTCCATCTCCTTTTCTCTTACAAGTAATTTTTGTGCTAACTCATAAATGTAAATAGATGTGTGGGCATTTTCTTTTCTTTTTTCCCCCTAGAGTTCAACCTCTTGATACTGGTCAGTGCTTTTGCAGTAGGACTGACTTCTTTGACTTCTTTTCCCAAGCCCTGGCTCAGCCAGTATGTCATATCAACTACCATTTAATTATAAAACTACCATATGCCAGACGCTATGCTAAATAATTCACAGATAATGTCTAAATAAGCTTTACAAGCATCCTATTGGAAAGTTACAGTACTCCCCATTTTAGCTTGGGTTTAATCTAAAGCTGTATTTTTTAGCCATTTTACCACCAAAAGCTTGTGCAAGTTAAAATCTAGGGCTTCCATATATGCAGGGGAATCCAGATGCAGGCACGAGAAGGAGATATTCCTCTACCCATGATGACATTGAGGCCCAGGACAGCCCCAGTGACTGCTGAAGAATCCTTGGACCCCGTTGATAAAACGGAGATGAGATTCCAATTCAAAAGATTTCACAATTTCAGTCCTCTTCTTCCAGACACTGAAGTGGGTAACAGATATTACTAATTTTCTGACTGAAACTGAGAAGCTTGAGTCATCATTTCTAGACTGTATGTTAGTAAATTTTTTGTTAGAATTGTGATATTAATGAAGGTCATGTTGAATGAGATTTCCTAGTTCTGTATAAATTTGCATCATGATGATATACATCTTTTCCGGCTAATGTCCATCACAACTAATAATCATTAGCAATCAGCAAACTCATAAATGTTTGTCCCCATTGCTCTTTGAAACTAGTTCATTTAAATGATGATTTCTGTTCTCATTAGGTATTTGCCATATTGTAACCTTGTTCCCAAGGATAACAGGGTTTTATAGTTTATTTGAACATAATAATACTCTCCTAGTCAAAATAGTTAAGTAATAGTGACACTAAATGTCAGCTCTTAATGGATGTGATATGGGATGCATATGAAACATATTTCATTTAAAGCGATTATTTTTATTTCAGAGAAAAATGCAATCATGTTATTAAGGATTCCACAAAGCACTTCAGAGCAAAGAGAGAACTTTTATACTTTACATGTAGTCTTCCTTTGTCTGTGATTGTTTATATCCCGCTTAGAATTTAGCTTTCTTTCCAATATTCTGTTTCTTCTCTAAATGTTCTCACCTCATCTTCACTTCGTTGAATATCCTATTCATCCCTAAGCTTCCAGGGGTTCTTGGGCATTTGGAGGGTTTGGCCCTACCCTAGTACTTAGGTGTACACATAGTACGGACACCTTTCATACCTTCTCTTCCATGCCGCACTCCTTCCCATCGCCACGAGGCTGCCTAGTTCCTCGCATTCTTTTTTTCCCCCTACCATTTAGTGCCAACTTTTTTGCAACTTTGGCTGTCACTTTCCCTTTTTCTCCTCTAATCCTTGCTTCTACCTTTTCAGTGCTATACCAGTTTGATATCCCAGCAGTTTTACTGAGTTCCTTCTGCGTGAAGAAAATCAAAGAGATGAGGATGCTGAGTAATATCACCTTAAAATGTAATCAAGAAAAGTTTATCGGTAGAAAGTTACTTTAATTAGTTTAACATTGATATGTCCCAGGGCCAAAGCCTTGACCCTGGTTCCCTGGAATGTCATGGGAAATTCTCTTCCCTAAGCCATATTCTTTCCAAACCAGTTACTAAAGTCTTTTAATTTTACATGAGAGTTATTAGAATAAGAAAAAAGTTCTATTTAGTGTGCATAGCCTATATTGAAATCAAATGATCCTTAATATGCATAGTCTCATAGAACTATGCAATGTATGCAGTGTAGATTTCCATAGACCATCCTCTTATCCCTCTAGTTCTGCCTGCTAATAGGTACTCCAGCCAAGATCTTTAGCTCGTCCCAGGTCCCAGGGCAGATCTCTTCACTGTATTGTTCTCTTTTAAACAATTTCACAAAAAGCAAGCATTTTGTGTGTATATATAGTATAATTATGCATATATTAATCATGTTCTTTTAAATTTTGCATTCCTGAACCAGTAGTTTTCATATCACTCTTTTTCCTTAGCTTTATCATCTGGACCTTGTCTTCCACACTAGGTCCCCCATCATACCTTAGAAAGTTATTTCTTGATCTATTTAGTAATTTCTCTATTTAGTTAGTTTTAGTGGTAGAGGCTGGATCTGGTCTCTTGTCTCCTGATCTAATGCTCTTTGCCCTGTACAAGGATGACCCTGAAATCATCTCATCTAAAAGCAATGCAAGCAGACTTACCCTGGCAATTGAGGGTTAGTCTTTTCTTTGTACACAGATAGTTTTTGGTTAAGGGAAGAGATATTTGTCTGTGTTTCTTACCCCATTTGAGTTTATTCTCAGCTGAGCTGCCAAAATGATCCTTGTAAAAGCTCAGCCAGAGAGTGATACCCCTATACTCAGATCCCTGCATTGTTCCCCATTTCACTCAGAGAAAAAGCCAGAGTAGGTACAGGTCCAGAGGCCCAGCATGGTTTGGATGTTCATTTCCCAGCTGCCCTCCTCTCCTTCTTTCTGTCTTCACTTATCTCCAGCTGTGCTATTATTCTTGCTGGTCCTCATTTGGGCCACACCAGATTCCACCCTGGGGCCCTTTGTCCAGCGCTGGGCCTGGAGCACTCTTCTCGGTTATGCACTGGCCAGCTCCCTTACTACCTTCATGTCTTTGATGGAATCTCACCCCTTTGCCAGGCCTACCTAGACTACCCTACTTAACAGAGCAGCCTGTCCTCCTTCCTTCCTCCTGCATCCAGGCATTCTTGGCATAATCAAATTATTCTTTTTTGCCTTATCACTTATCAGTTTGAGGCATTCTTTATAAGTTACTTTTTACTGGATTTATTGTTGATTATTTTATTCCCTCCACCATATATTATGTTCAATGAGGGAAATAATTTCCTTCTTCTTCTTTCTTTTCCCTCATGCTGCTCCTCCTCCTCTTTCTCCTTCTTTTTCATCTTTTTTCTTCCTCTTCTTTCTTTCTTCCTCCTCTTCCTCCTCCTCTTCTTATTTTCTTCTTCTTCTAACCTAGAATACCCTGTGGCATATATTAGGCATTCAAAATTATTTGTTGAATGGAGGTAACAATCTTTTATTTTATTTTATTTTGAATGGAGGTAACAATCTTAATCAATGATTTGGCTCTAATGTTGCCAACAGAATAGACGGCACCATTTCAAGAATTACTAATGCTGATTTTATAGTGGTAGAATCTATGTCCTGATTCTGATGTAAAAATAAATATGTTGGTAGAGAAACTTTAAATCTCATACATCCTATGATAAGGATTAGAGGATTTAAATTAAATAGACTCAAGTCTTGTTTTGTTTTTTCCAGCTGGTATATTATTTGTGTAGGTAAGTTTCTCTTTTTGTAAAAATGCCATTTAAATAAGAACCTCTACGTATTAGCACCTTCACATAAAAAAAGGTGAAAATCTCTGAGTAAGATAGGACAGGAAGTGGGAGTGATTCCTCTTTCAGTTGAGCAGCCTAAAGGGTTGTTGAGGGTGTTTCTTATACCTCCGGCTGACTAAAGCCATTAGTCTGTTGTGAATGAAGAGAGTGAAACTTCAAGTCCTAATAAAGCTCAGGGACAACCCAAATAATTCATATTCTTTTATTGTTAATATCTTACAAGATTTCTAATGCAACAACCACAGTATTTGTTTGGCTTACTGTGTCTCTGAATTAATAGGGGTTCATGTTTTCTCCTAGGTTGAGCCAGTTTTTTTGGGTTCTGTGCTAAAATACGACTCCATTCTAGAGGCTGGGAAAGCTATGCAGTATTTGAGCCAGAGTAGACCTTGAAGGGCCCAGGAAGGTGTCCAGGGCAGCACAGACAGCTCTAGTCAGTGACGGTCATGGGAAGTCATCAGTCAGGCCTGAACAGGGGCTGGAGAACATGTTTGCACTCCTACAGGTGTGTATATATAGAGATATATATACACACACAGGGTTATATATAATGGTAAAAAAAAAACACGTAAAACAAAATTTACCATTTTAATCACTTTTAAGTGTACAGCTAGCTTGATAGTGTTACATACATTTCACATTGCATGCAAACAATATCTAAAACTTTTCATCTTGTAGAAATGAAACTCTGTACCCATTAAACAATAACTCTCCATTTCCCTACCTCCCCTACCCCTGGTGACTGACCACTATTCTACTTGCTGTTTCTATACATTTGACTACCAAGTCATGAATTTGACTACTCTAGGTAATGGAGTCCTGTAGTATTTGGCCTTTTGCAGCTTGCTTATTTCACATCACATAATGTCCTCAAGCTTCATCCATGTTGTGTCATATGTCACAATATTTCTCGTTTTTAAGGTTGAATAACGTCCATTGTATATGGATACCACATTTTGTTTATCCAGTCATCCTGTGAGGCTAGAACCAATAAAAGCTGTAAGACTTCCTAAACCCTCTACTCCCTACCCACCCCCATCCCCAGGGATCGTAAGTTAATGGCACTTACACGTGAAATTATAGTGGTTATAGAATGTACTTGAGATTGTTCAAAAAGTGACAAGAGAGCATTAGCATGATTCTTACTGAAAATTGGGAATGAGAGTATTAACTATTGAACAGTTTGGCTCATGAGTGAATATGAAATTTCAACATTTCTGGCCAGGCACGGTGGCTCATGCCTATAATCTCAGTGCTTTGGGAGGCCAAGGCAGGAGTATTGCTTGAGGCAAGGAGTTCAAGACCCATCAGGGAAACAGCAAAACATCATCTCTACACACACACACACACACGCACACACACACACACACACACACACACAACAAACAAACAAATCAGCCAGGCATGGTGGCATGTGCCTATAGTCCTAGCTACTTGGGAAGCTGAGGCAGGAGGATCATGTGAGACCTGGAGTTTGGGGCTGCAGTGCAGTGACCTACGATTGTGCCACTGCGCTGCAGGCTGAGCAACAGAGCAAGACCCTATCTAAAAAAAAAAAAAAGAAAATCACCATTTCTGCACAGCTACCGCAGACTATAGGTGTTTCATCAGAGTAAAGAAACCAACAGTTCTCTGAAAAGCACACACTGTGCTACCTGCAAGCACGACCCTTCCCGGTAAAGGTTAAACACATAACAATTTCAGCTTTAAAGCTAGCCTACTTACTTCTCCATATAAAAATATTTTCAAAAAGAAAAAATAAATTGTAACAAACACTTCAGAATTTTCTAGACCATTTGAAGTCTTTAGGTTGAAAGTGGAGTATTATAAACTTTATCTGTTTCTGATTGCTTCCCCAGAATTTGTAAAAGGACTAGAATCCAGAAGCTTCTAATAGATTTCTGACTAGATTTTTTCTCTACTTGTGTTGTCTACTATTTTCTTTCTCTTCCCCATTATCCCACTCTCCCAGCCTTTTCCTTCCTTTCCTTCGTTTTTCTTTTCCTTCCTTCTTTATTTCCTTTTTTTGATGTTTATTCACTGATAAGGTTATGTTATGACACATATCCTTTTAATTTTTTTAAATAAAAAATATTTTTGTAATTGTTCAAATTCATTTTGAAAAACAATAAGGGAAAATAAGATGTTCAGGGACAATAAGATGTTCATTGAAAATACGTAATGACTGAAGTTCTCATATCTGAGACAAGAATGAAGTAAATATATAAAGTGTGGTCGGGATTGATACACAGTCTTCTTGTGTGTGGAGGCCAAATAACAAATGTTTCACTACCATGCACTGTCCCCTCTTCTGCCTCGCAGGAGCAGAATGATTGCTCATAGCAATTCTTAACACTGTTAACAGGTATTTGGGTTTCACAATAATGGTGGCTGCAGAGTACAAATTACTTAATCATTTCGCATTGGTACCTGTTCCATTATAGAATCCTGCATAAAATTAGTCACATTTGAATATGACATCCTAAACATTTTTCCAAATTGTATTTCCTATCAGATTTATGTATTGGTTGCCATTTCAAATATGTTCAGACCATGCATTATCTTGAAGGAGGCAGGTCCTGTTTGTAACATCTTCACTTTCCTTGTCACTGGCATCCTCTAAAGTGCCCATGGCAAGCATACGGATCCCCCAAGAGAATCATTACACTTCCAGCAAAACTCTATTTATGAAGGAAATGACAGACGTATTAATGGGAAGACATTAATATTTGAGAAGGCTTATTAGGTCATTCTTCCCAAGAATGTGTGCATTTTTGTAATGGTCAATGCTGTAAGCCTCAAGAATGGAAAACTAATGGTTTGATTTTCAGTGCCTATAATGGACCAAGGAAACAGGACTTTAATAAGGTGTAGGTTTATGAGAGCCCCAGAGTCATATCACACAGACCATTGTCTCTATAGAAGGTCAGTTAGGTCAGTCAGTCAGTTTTGATAATTTATAACTCCATCTGTGTGTGCAGTTATATTAAATATGTTCATGAATCTGTGTCTTGTGGCTTTGCAGTTAATTGTTCAAGAAACCTTTGGCACATTTTTGTATTTTATACATTTCATATTTTTACATTCACCACACTATTTACTGAGTTTTACAGAGATATACTACATATATTTCAGTGATACCACTTTGTTCAGAAAAATTGTCATCTTATTTGTCTTAGTTAGCTCTGAATAACTGAATTTTTCCCAAAAATCTACAGGTCAAAATTTACTATTATGGTCAATATCTGAAAGCTCACCCTGGAGAATCTGAAATAAATTCCCAAAGAGGCACTTTATCATGTTTTAATCAAATGATAGTCTTTGGCATTTTAGTGTATAACCTCTTATGTGACTATTTTGAAGATGACCTAACTTGCCCGAGTGTATAGATCATGATGTGTCTGATTTAAAAAATTTAATCTTCTTATCCCAAAGTATGTCCTCCATTAATTGCTATCTTTTTCAGCATTTCCCATGCTTGAACGAATGTCAAAATCACCTGAAGAGCATTTTACACTAAAAGATCACTGGGACTCCACCCGGTCCCCAACCCAGAATCTCCAGGTCTCCCACTCAGGATGCACAATTGTAGTGAGTTCCCCGAGTGCTTCTTAAGCAGCCAGCCCAGCACCTATTGCTGGACCATTAAGAACCATTCATCTGCACCATTGCCCAAGTTCAGAAACTTGTAGCAACCCAAGACTTCCTCATTCACTTTCTATTAAGTAGATCCTATTAACTTTACAATGTAAGTATCTCACTGTTCCATTACTAGAATTAATTATTAGCATGAATGTTTCACCACTTATCTCAAATAAAGGAATTAGACTCTATTCTGGCATAGTTTTAACACTTACTAAATATTCGTTGAGTGAATGATGAAGTGAGTGAATGAAAGATGTCATAATAGACCTTGTTAAATGCCTTCTTTGCCCCTGGTTTTCTTATATTCCATATTTCCTTTGGTTACCAATCTACTAGCTCTACCAAAGGAAATAATAAAGTTAGTTTGACACATGCTGATTTCATTAAACACACACTGGTTCTTAGGGATTCCCCAGTCTTTCTTCATGAAGTCCATCACTGTGCTAATCTATTACAGAATAATTTCTGGAATATTAAACATATTAATGTCAACATTTGGAAATGGCATTGCTTTTAGAAAACTGTAACAGCATGTGTCATTTTTTCAGAATTATAGGAACTCTTGTATATTTTATTTCGAAGGTCACCAGCCTTATCTAAGGACTATCACTTGTGGATTCTTTGAGTACCTATAAAGGCAATTGACCTGAGGTCAGGATACTGGAATTCACTTAGAGTAGCCCTTGAATAATCCCTGCATTCACATAATTAGGGCTTAGGGTTCACCTTAGCCATTTTCACATGTGGGGTTTCTTATTCCTAAAATAAATTTTTTTGCCTTCAATAATTGTTGTGCACCTCAATGTATTTTGTATTTTGGACTTTTTAAAATGTTACCAATCCTTAATAATAGTTGACACTTACATAGTACTCACTGTATGGCAGGCATTGCTTTAGGTAATTTATACGTCCATATTAACTGATTATTCATTCATCTTCACATACACACTATAAGGCAGGTACTTCACAAAGACACCATGAGGTAAGTATAATTGTCACCATTTTACAGGGGAAGAACTCGAGGCACAGCAAACTTAAGTGATTTTCCCAGGGTCCTGCAGCTCACAGATGTGTGAGTTGAGATATGAACTCAGGTTCCCTGGCTCCAGTGTTCTTAACCACTATGCCAGACTGCCTCTTCCTTAGCTGCCCTCATTTATGTGCCATTTGTCTACATCTTCTGTCCAGATCTTAGAACTTTATGAATTAACTGATAAGTACCTTGTGCATCCATATTGTCTATTACTTACCTACCCTTCTTCTATCATTAAGAGAATTTGTGAATACAAAGATGACAGTACTTTCCCTCTTGCCCCCATATTTTCCCAAGTCTTTTGTAACCAGTCTGTACTACCTGGAAAATACACACTGTCACACACACACACACACACACACACACACACACACACACACACACACACATCAAAAATTGACCATATTCAACTATTATTGTCAGTTTCCACATTTTCTTCTCTTTCAATCAAATTGTGAGTATGCTATTATCTAACAAAGAAGGAAACTAAAACTCTTCTCTGCTATTCACACATTTCAACTATTTATATAATCTTGTATTTTGGCAAAGAGTTTAGCAACTGTTTATGCCTTGCTGGAAAGTCACTGTTATCCTCACCCAACAGAAGAAAGAACTGTCAAGTGATTGATTTGTGGTCCTCTAGGATTTACCAAAACTAATAGTACAATCTGAGCTCCAGACCTATCGTCAGAATCTCAGAATATTCACCAGTGCTTGCTCTCATTTGTATGTGATTTTAGATGTGCCACTCAGGCTACTTTGCCCAATTTTATATATATATATATACACACACACACACACACACACACACACAAGTGCATATATATATACAGTGTGTGTATATATGTAAATATATATATATAAATACATTATATATAGGTTAAGAAATTATGAAGCCTTGTGTGATTTTTACATGCAGAAATTTTCTGCAAAAGTGCTCCTTAGGATTGGTTTTTCACATCCACAGATTTCTCCACCTTTGGCAGGGCATTCTTTACCTCTTGGGTGTCTGACTACCCAAATGAATGCAGTTTGGGTCCTACTCACAACATTTGGCAGTGACCCAGGGAGATGGCTCTTGACATAAACCTCAGGATACTGCAAAGTTGCATTTTGTCACTTTTAAAAAAATCCTCTCACCACAGCCCTTGATGTTCATTTTAATTTAGGATTTCTTGGTAGGAAGGGAGAACATGCAGCATACGGTACCATCGTGGACCCTGTACTCTTATGCACATGGCTTTGTTTCTTGAATAGAAATAGTAATAATATAAAGGAGAAGGAAAAGCCATATGTCGAGGACTTATTATAGATTTATCTATAGATTATAGAAAAGTTATTTTCTTTAAACTTCTAAGTATCCCTATGTTTTAAAGAGAATAGATATTGCTCTCCTTTTTCAGATGGGGAAATTAAAACTTAGATCTTGTTTACAGTCTCACAGCTATTAGGTGACAAAGTTAGGATTCAAATACGGGCCTGTTTAACATCATTGCTTTTTCATTCTCAGATTGCTGCTGAGTTGCGTGTGTGTGTGGGTGGGTGGGGGGGATGTATGTATAAAATACTTACAAAGTTTGCATTGGAAGACATCTATTATGAAGGACCCACAAAGCCAAACTCCTTGTGCTGGTCACCTTTTGGGTACTGACATGATTAATTCTGGATTATTAATTGAATATCATTTACCTTGATTAACTCTGTTTAGAATGGTTTATTGGCAGCCAACACTATGCTAATATCTTAATAACATTTTCTTATTTAATGCTTACAATCATCCTAAAAGTAGGTAGTATCCCTATTTTATAAATGATGAATATGAGTCTTAGAAGATGAAGTTACAGTATCACTTAGCAAATAAGTGGAAAACACAAGATTTGAACCTAAGCTGCCTGAGTCTAAAGCCTGTGTGTCTTACCACTTTGCTTTTCTGAATAGAAGTTAGGAGTTTAAAAACTTTACTTTCAACTGTAATATGGAGCAGAGCAAATTTTGCCAATTATTTATGGTATCATTATTTGTAGCATTTTTCATCTCTGCCATGATGTTGTGACAATAACATGAAAGAATACATGTAAATATCCAACATTTGCAGGATTTTTTAACCTAAGTACTCTGCAAATACATGCAATTTAAAATAACTACAACTTTTAATTTCTTGTGAAAGAGCACAATGAAGCTAAATTATGTGCTATGTAAAACTATGCTCTATGTACTATGAACTTGGGATCCTATTGGGTAATACAAATTATGGCCACCTACTAGCTTTTATGAAGTTTTCACTTGCACTCATGTTAACACAAGAACTTTAAAGAGGATTTGGAGTGCTCTGTAGGCTTAGAAAAGTAGCAGGCTTACTTTGTCTGCTAAAAATAATTATTTTTGACCTATATTATCATCTCATGTAAAAAAGAATCTTCTTTATATAAAATCAATATACTTGTGGTACTTTCCTTTTGAGAGTTATTTTATCGCTAACTCAGTTTTCTTCCTGTAGGAAAACTGTGCACTCAGGGGTTACACTTCACAAGACCCAATTTCCCTGAGAGGCCATGCACAGGGTGGCTTCAGTTGGCAGCCCCTATGCTCATGGGTCTTCCATGATTTCCCTGATTAGCACATCCCTCCTCTGCTCCATACAGGACATCCAACATCTCATTGCACATCATCTTTTGTGTGTTGCAGGCATCTCCAACACAACACGTCCCAAACTGAACACGGTGTTTCCTCCCATCCTCTTAAGTTGATCTCTTCAATACCATCCTCATCCATGGCATCATCTTCTCTTTCCTGGGTTACTAAAACAGCGTAATAACTGGCCACTTAACTATGTCACTCCCCTACAGAAGGCATTCTTCACACAGTGACTAGCGTGAAATTTCCAAAATCACATGGGATCGAGCCGTGAGTTTGCTCAGAACTCTCCAGTGTCTTTCATTAGGATAAAATCCACAGACTTTAATTTGATTTATGAGACACTCTCTGATCTGGTCCTCAGTGAGCTCTCCAGAGTCATAGAAGCTACTCTGCCTCTTCCCTGTTGCTCTCCAGCCAGTCTGTGCTCCTCTCAATTACTTGGATGTGAGTGCTCACTCATACCTGTGCCTTCAATGCCAGCCACCATCTTCCTTGTCACCCAATCAGTGGAGCTTTCCTCACCATGGACCATGTGAAGTTCCCTCACCATGCTTTAGAGCAGTTGATAGTTTAGTATCTGTTTTCCTTGAAAGAGCGAAATTCTGTGTGGGCTGTGTGGGCAGGTCACATGTATGAGTGAACCATACGGGAAGGCAGTATGTTAATACTATTTGTGTATTTTGTATTAAACATGCATATGTACTTGTAGACAACTTAATTACAAATGATTCATTGAGTGTATGAAATGTGGAAATGGTCAAATATATCACCAGTCTCAAAAATATTTGTTATGAGCTTATTAAATACTAGACACAAGAAATAATGCATTCATTCAAGAAATAGGAAATGTCTCTGCTATGCCTGGCAATGTGCTAGACGTGAGAGCTATAAGGCACAATCCATGTCTTCAAAGTTTTAGACAATGTAGTTGGGAAGACGGGACGTCGACACAGAGAGCTATGGTCATGCAGGTCAATTTAGTATAGAGATACTTAGTCTAAGAATTTATTCTTGCTGGTTAGTTACTTAGATAAGAACTGCTTTGAATGTAAATTTACTAGTTCTGACTTGCTTTTCTCTCCCTTTTCTCCTTCCCCACACCCACTTTTCTGAACAGAAATATAAGATTTATTTAATTTAGTCCATTTGGCTTCATGACAGCAGAAAGTCATCAGCGTAATCACCATAAAAGGACTTTGTTTTATTTTTTATCACCCAGCACAT
The DNA here is from genome assembly GCF_000001405.40 of Homo sapiens. Lineage (NCBI taxonomy): Eukaryota > Metazoa > Chordata > Mammalia > Primates > Hominidae > Homo > Homo sapiens. Next base: position 239,583,781 of record NC_000001.11, read on the forward strand.
TTTTATTGTCAGAATAGTTACTAATCATTCATTTTTATTTACTCTAGCTTGGGAAGTTTTGCAAAACTCTTGTGACTATTTAGAGAAAAAAAATGCTTTAAATTATGAGTTTTATCCTACCCTGCTGGCCAGTGAACACACCACAAACTTAAACCTCATGATTCCATTAGATTAGGCGTTGAGGAATAGAAAATACCTGCTTTGCCCCTTGTCAGCTGGGGGAACGCAGGAGTCCTTCACCTCCTCCCAGACTTTGTTCTGCACCACAAAATCAGAACATGGTTGTATTTTTCTCATGTTGGATTCGAATTAGTCATTCTTCTTCTTCTTTTTTTTTTTTTTTTTTTTGACAAAGTCTTCTGAGACAGGCTAGAGTGCAGTGGTGCGATCTTGGCTCACTGCAACCTCCGCCTCCTGGGTTCAAGTGATTCTCCTGACTCAGCCTCCCGAGTAGCTGGGATTACAGGTGTGTGCCACCATGCCTGGCTAATTTTTGTATTTTTGGTAGAGACAGGGTTTTGCCATGCTGGCCAGGCTGGTCTCGAACACCTGATCTCAAGTGATCTGCCCGCCTCAGCCTCCCAAAGTGCTGGGATTACAGGTGTGAGTCACTGCCACTATGCTTTGCCTAGAATAATTATTTTGAGCGGCTGAGATAGAAAACAAAGATACAACTGATTAGCATCCATAAACTCTTGGGCTTTTTAAAAATGAGGATTATTTTATAGCTTTGTTAAACTAAATTCAAATATTTTAAGTAGTGTATTGAAGAACATATGTAAGAAAAGAAGAGAGGTAAGATAAGAATAAACATTAAATAGACTGAAGAATGCTATGACATAACAGATGAATTCTTTAGGAGCTAATGAAAGTGCATAAAATGCTGGGTAGAGGATTCGAGTCTTGGGTGGCTTGGGATTCAAGGGATTTTCATTAGAGTCCAGATTTAGCCCCCACAAAGTGCCAAGTGTGGTGACCATCTTCCCCACTTAACTCAGAATCTGTCTCTTCTAATTTCCTTCCAAAGCCAGTTGGAAAAGCGTCTGTTGGTTATATGGACATTGTGTTGGTGAGCACACATAAACTGTAGTTCTTCCTGCTTACAAAGCTCATTAAGAACTCAAATTCATGTTCACTGAGATATCAGTATCATAATCCTAAGATACAATTAATTTTGTAAGCTTCTAAACTAGCTTCTGGTTAGAGTGATTCAAATAATTTCATGATTTGCAACTGGAAGAGGCAACCATTCTTCAGGTGAGCAACAATTAAATATATATATATATATATATATGTATACACACATACGTATATACATATATACACATGTATACATATACATATATGTGTATATATATACTTTTAGGCACATATTCACGTGCAAATACAGTTGAGGAGCTTTTGATGCTAAAAGGATAATAATCTGGAAATTCTATTTGAATAATGACTGGTTGTCCTTCCTTTCTCTTGTGATTATAAGTTTTCTTATGAGCTAGGTGTTCAGTGCCTTCATGGGAGTCACCCAGCTGGTTAGGAGAGAAGTGTGTCCCCAGTAGGTGTGAGTTGAGATATGTTTAAGCTGAGGTTGGTAGGCAAAGATTTTGAGCAGTTGTATCTAAGATTAAAGGAAATTACTAAGATTACTAAAGGAAGTGAAGATGTGATGCATGAATGGAGCAGAACATCCTGTACCCTTTCATGGATTAGAGATGTGTGGAAGAAACACCTCCCCTTTAATCATGTTGTCATAAAGGGCAACCGTCAGCCTTTCTCTCCATAGCAGTACCTGAGAGTGAATGCCCAGCTGAATGGTCCAGTGTAGCTGCAACTAACCATCACAGTTTGAGATGGGAATAAATGCTTGGCAGGTATACTACTACTCTCCTTCTCAGACTGAATATTGTAAAAGTCAATGGACATTTGTATTTCAATACATCCTATACTTTAAGCAGAGAGATAAAATATGAATTTTAAATGGCCAAAGCAGGGTTAACTTGGTTTGTAAAATATAGTCAGCCATCTTATACAGAATTTTGCAGAGCATGCAGTGAGAAAGAAAAACAAATAGATGAATATGCACTAATTATTTCCCAAGCATTTTGCTTCAACTAAAAAAGATTCCCCTGCAATGTCAGTTTTATTTATCATTCCCATTTTAGAGATGAGAATACTTTGCTCCAGTTGAGTAACATAATTTTGCCTAGGAGAACTCAACTAATAAATCATAATGCAGATCTTGGTTTAAGGTATTGGAAATCCATCCACTTTCTACTCTTCCATGCTGTGTCTCTGAAAGAGTAATTTCTGTCCACTCCCTGCCCTCCCGTGGGAGGCAGACAGGCCCAGTAACCTCTGACATCTGTGAATTAATGTGCCAAACATGTTTAGATTTTTTTATAAAACAATATCTGAGGCTAAGCTGAGTCAGAACTGACTGAAAATTATATAGGTGTTTTTTGTTTTTTGTTTATTTTTATTTTTTATTTATTTTTTGCTGCTGTATTTTTGTGGATGTTAGCTCTGGAATTACACCAAAGCTTATTAATACATAACTGTGGCCTGTATAAGCTGTAAAGGTCTTTATGTGAAAATTGTGGAGGTGAGCTTGGACTGCAGCCTATTTTTTTGCAGCATGGAAGTTTCTCAAAGAAAATGTCAGGGCTTTGAATACTCATGAATCAAAACACAGACAAAAATAAAATTTTAGATAACTCTTGGAACCCAAACTAAAGGCCAGAAAATAATCCCCTTCCCATTCTTCAACATTTCAAGGATCTTATGCTTATATCTACCATTAATTTATTTTTAAAGTACTCAGCTGTTCTTTTAGAAATATTTCAGTTCTTTTTATTTTATATTCTGGGATGTTATAAAGCAGATATGTTGCATGCTTTCTCCTTGTTTGTGGGGAAATTATAATTTTGACACTCAGGCAAAAAAAAGTGCTATAAGACTCTAAATTTCTTTCAGTGAGTTATAATTATTTCCTGCACTTTATGTGATGTTTCCTGAGCTACACCCAGTTCTAGGATTGATACTAAAAGTTTGGATTGCCAACTTTTTGCCTCTTCTTTCTAGATTCTGTCTGGTAGAGACCAAGAGAAAAAAGGGAAAGTTGAAGCTTTAACTGTATTATTGATGGATATTGGCATCTCCCAAAATACAGGTCTTTTGGATAAAGCTGGATTTGAAAACATGGCTGGTTGAGAAATCTGGGCTCCTACTAACTCCTCAAGCCTATTCCTTCCCATGCTTGTAGAGAAGCTGGAGCCATGTCCTCTTCCCTGAGCCGGGAAAGAGTTGACTTCAGCGCTACCTCACACATTCTGTCACAGGATGATCAGAAATCAGCGCGTGGTGACCTTTCTGACCACCCTCTGGCAAGCAGGCCCCTGGCCTCACCTCCACGTGCTGTACAGAGCAGTGAGGTAGGTTCTGGTGGCTTCTTGCAGATCCACGTACTTGCCACAGAGAGACAGTAGCATGCTGCTCACTTCCCATTGAAGGGACCAACTCAGCCCTCCTTCCTGTGGTAATAACAAAGCCACATACAGGCCAGCCTCTTACCAGTCATTTACGTCAGCTTCTTTCCTTTTGATGAAAAATATGGTAGCAAGAGAGATATAAGCTAGATAGAGAGTCCTCCCCTCCCGCTTTGCCTTCCCCTGCCAAAGACACCAGAAAGAACTTTTTTCTCATTGAAAATTTTCTTCATTTATAAGCTGAGGCAAGAACATCAGGAAGCAGAGGGTTGCCAATGCAGTATGAGGGGCAATTTTAAGCCAACTGTACAATGAAATATAGTGCAGTTGGCAAAACTGATCAAATTACCGGTAGACACTTAATAATCTTTATTTAATGTTTCAGAGTATCTACCTATCTCTGTCCCATACTTCTAACTTTCTCAAGTTTTCTTAACTCCTAAGCAACGAAGTCATTTTTCCAGGGCTGCATTCAGGAATTATAGTCACCATTACAAAAGTGTAGTCTGGCCAAGAGAAACATTTCCTCAGACTTGAACCTAAATAAACTTTCTCATTTGCTAAGCAACAAAAGGAGCTTCATATTTACTTAAATTTTACAGATCTTATTTAACCAATCTGGTTTTCTCACATATGCTAATTATACTTTTATTAGACCAGTAAACAAACTTATGCATTCTGATTTTATTTTCTTTTACAGTTATTTAAGTACAGAGCTCTCTAAAATTTGATTTTTAAACATTCGATCAGACCAATAGATGAGCTACACATCGCTCTGCTCTCCTAATTCAAAGCATGTAGCATATTTTAAATTCCATGCAAATACTGCATAAAAACTTTTGAATACATTATGCCATTTTCTAATTTTAAACAAACTTGATTTAAGCATGTATGCAGATTGTTTCATTTGCTAGCTAGAATACCAACCCCTGCAGCTCCCAGTGAGTAGACGAGTCTAGGGACAGTATTTATGAAACTATTGTTTAGAATATTGATCAGCCTCCGCATGGTTCTGTTGACTGTGTGTTCTGTTAGAGATGAGGTAATGTATCTGAAAGTGCTTCTCTGTATGGGGGTATTTTTATTTTGTTAACAAAGAATTTATGGAGCCCCAGGACGTAGCACAGTGTATGGCATGCAGGAGACCCTCAACAAAGAACTGTGGACTCACTGAATGCTCATTAATTCAATGTATGGCCATAATCAAGCTCTTCATAGAAAAGTTCAGTTATCCTTTTCATTTTACATTTTCAGATGTTCTATTGCAATCATTCAGTACACAATCATCTTCCTCCTGTGAACAAAAGATGATTTTGAATATTAAAAGAAAATGAAAGATCAGTGAGGCCCTTCAAAACATATTTTTAACTGTCTTATGCCCCAGCGTCCTGCTTTTGTCCTGTGACAAAAGAACCAAAATGCCACTAGACCAGATGCACAAGGTCTGGAAAATGCTGCTAATAACAGGTACAACTTGTGTTTCTGTGGAGTGCTACCATCTACAAAATTTGCATAGACTTTGAATATGTAGAACAGTGGAATGAATAGAAATACATGTATATATTTCTCAAATGTCCAGACCACTTTATAGAAAAGAAAATCACTTGTTAAATTTACCTTGGACCTGCAGGTGTTATAAGAAAGCAAAACTGTTCATCTTAGTGAGTTATGAAGCATCTTTTTTTTTTTTAGACGGAGTCTCGCTCTGTCCCCCAAGCTGGAGTGCCATGGTGCAATCCTGGCTCACTGCGACTTCTGCTTCCCCGGTGCAAGCAGTTCTCCTGCCTCAGCCTCCCAAGTAGCTGGGATTACAGGCACGTGCCGTCATGCCTGGCTGATTTTTGTATTTTTAGTAGAGACAGGGTTTCACCATGTTGGCCAAGCTGGTCTCCAGCTCCTGACCTCAAGTGATCCGCCCTCCTCAGCCTCCCAAATTGCTGGGATTACAGGCGTGAGCCACTGTGCCCAGTCTGAAACATTATTTTAAATGAGAACTGGAAAAGTATTAATTCTCGTGAATAGTTAATATACTGATTACAATAAGGAACCAAATTTAATATCTACTACATCTCTCAACTGAGTGAAAATAGCTTCCTACCTGTGTAGACATCTTTCTGCCAAAGATAATTTAAGATGCTAATTACAAGCACTGTTCATGAAAAAATCACATATTAGTGCATGGAAATTACATAAAACTATGTGTATACATAGTTTCATATATATATAGTTTTATGTAATTTTCATGCATATGTATAAAACTATATATATAGTTTTATGTAATTTCCATGCATTAATATGTGAAATTTTTTCATGAACAGTGCTTGCAATTAGCACCTATATATATTTATGTAATTTCCATGCATATATATAAAAAACTATATATATATATATATATATATATATATATAGTTTTATGTAATTTCCATGCACTAATATGTGAATTTCTTTTTCATGAACAGTGCTTGCAATTAGCACCTTAAATTATCTTTGGCAAAAAGATGTCTACACAGGTAGGAGGCTGTTGATAGTTTTATATATATAGTTTTTTTATGTATATAGTTATATATACACATATGTCTGACTATGCATCTGAAGAACTTGTAAGTCCACAATAGATGCATGATTTTAGAAACAAGATTATGTGTATTTAAATGCCATAAAATGCCTTAGTGATAAATGTAAGTGCTTTTATTTTTTATTTAAAAACCCACAGTTTTAGCATCATTAATTTTAAAAATCTTCCTTTATTTATATTTCTCTCTGAAGTGTATTATAATGTTTGAATGTAGATGGTCTTGGACCTAAAATCGTGGCTGTGATGGATCCACAAGATTCAAGGTCACCTTCATAGATCATCTAGTCTGTCTCCTTTCTTCTCATCATCCCTCAGGAGGCCAGGATGGTGGATTTGCTCTGGGAATCCCTAGCTACTCCTGGTGTGGAGTAAGTGCTGAATGTTTGTTGATGAAATGATTGAATTTCTTTCCCTCATACTTTCCCTTCAATTTATTCAGTGATTTAAATCAACCATTAAAAATATGTTAAATGCCCATTATATCTCTGGGTATATGAAGACCAATAAGATATGATTCATGTCCTTAGAGACTTTATAGTCTAACAGAAGGAGAGGACAAATACACAAAGAAGGATAATACATCTTACAGATATGAAACAAGTACATTTGGGAACCAAAGGAAATATAGCCAGTTCTCCTGAATGTGGGTATATCCCTAAGAAGATTGTTGTAACCGTTTTTGATAAGATGAACTTTTATAATTTTTTAAAAAGTCTTTATAATTAAAAAAATTAGAGATTAAAAATTTCCCCTATCCCTCTTCTAGCTTCTCTTACCCTTTCTTCAGGAAATTCTTTATATTTTATCCCAATTCTTCATGAGGCATTTTAAACTTGAAGTTCCTTAGTTTCTCCAGGGAAGATAGAAAACATCTGATTGGTATCCCTTATTTAGCAATCTGAATTTTTGGCAGGCTGAATTGCTGGATCAAAACCAAAGAGATTAAATATAACAGGAATAAACATAAAACCCTATATTTAAATTTAAAATGTTATCATACAGATAAAAGACAAGAGACTCACTCATTTTCATGGGAAAAAAAAAGAAGGTCTGAGGATTTTAGGTGGTTACAAACTCAAATATAATCCCATTGTAGGATATGGCTGTTAAAAACCTAACACAGTCTTCTAGATCTCAGTTGGCATTCATGGAAACAGTCTCCCCATCACAGTAAGTGTTAATGCTCATTATGCTGGGCGCTGGTGAGAACACATGGGAAACATAATAGGTTCTGTGTGTTACATTGAAAGTTATGGAAAGCTGCTTATGAAGAAGACATTCAAATATTTATCTCTAGGCTAGCCCTGGCCTTCTCCTGATCCTCAGTTTTGACCAGCGGCTGTGCACCTTCCTCATTGTAGTTGGTGACAATTCCGCCTCTATAAAATTGCGCTGGTCTCCCTTCCTTCCTTGGGTCAAGCTTCTCTCCTGTGACACACGCTTCCATTACTAGTGTTGGTAATCTAGCCTCCACCCACATGGAAAACTCTGGTTTTCTTTACATCTCCTTCACCTTTGTCCCTGCTTTTCTGACATTTCCTGGCACAGAGACAGGATGTACATACTTCATTGTCTTGCCTATAGCTGGAATCACCTGCGCTTTTGTCTCTTATGTTCAGTTCACAGCTAAGGTGACAGAATTTGGTCACACCATCTTAACGTGCTAAAGCAATGACTGCAGCGGACTGCTTAGGAAGTGTTATTTCTATTTACTTCAAAATCAAGACTATAGCAAAATTCACCATGCGTGCCGTCTTTTCTTGGAGATGAAAAAAAAAAAAAGAAACAAGATTACTCTGAACTAAGATTCGGAAATGGCATTTTAATAGCCACTGAAGTAAATGGATGGGCTGTCAGCTGAAAGTTCAGAATAACTGAGTCCCAAACAAGTATGTTATTGGGCCTTGTGTCTGAGAACGCAGTACAGTAACACAGTTGTGAAGTTTTATCGAAGTAGCTGAAGCCTGCTACAAATTTTATGTCCTGCAAAGTGATAGCATTTTGTTTATTTTTATAAGGAAGAAGGGTGTCATTTCTATGTCCTCAGGAGGGAAAGTAATAAGTAACATGGGAGACATTTGGTTGGCTTAGGCCCAGGAAATAAAAGTTCAGAGGCCTTGATTGGCAGGGCCTTTTACTGTTGGTCACTCTTAAGCCCTAGATCCCTAAACTAGAGCTCTGAGCTGGCAGAACAAATGGTTCTGTGTTTCCAGAATTCCAGTCTTTTATTTTCTCTCTGGCGAGGTAGATTGCTTTCTGTAAGAGGAGCTTATTCATTTGAATTAGGCCTTCTCACCATGTCTTCATTAAAAATAGATAGAGTCCATGTTACATGACATCCATCCATAGTCTAGTGTCCTAGACATTGTAATGGCATAACTATATTTAAAATTGAACTTTACTCTCAGAAATCTTCATTGCAGTGAAGAGGTTTTTGCTTTGTCCCTCTAACATATATCTAGTCTGAAAACTTGTGACCTTATGATATTTTTTCCATTTAAAATGTACAATTTAGTGGTGTTTAATGTAACTATCGCAATTAATTTTGGTACATCTCCATTACCCTAAAAAAGAAAACACATGCCTGTTAATAGCCATGTCATTCTCCCCACCTCCCCAGCCTTAAGCCACCACTAATTTTCTGACTCTATAGATATCCCTATTTTTGAAATGTCATAATAAGTGGAATAATATTCCATAAGACCATTTCATTTCATGGTCTTTTGTGAGTGGCTTCTTTCACTTAGTATAGTATTTTCAAGGTTCATTCCTGTTGTAGCATATATCAGTACTTCATTTTTTTATATCACCAAATAATGTGATATACCACATTTCATTTGTGTGGTAAATGAAATACCACATAATATACCACATTTCATTTATCCATTCATCAGTTGGTGGGCATTTGGGTTGTTTCCACTTTGGGACTATTTTGAATAACGTGGCTATTAGCATTCATGTACAAGATTTTGTGTAGGTCCATGTTCTCATTCTGTTGGGTCCATTGCATCGTTTTGTGCTTAATCAGTCATTGCTCTCTGTGGTTTCACACTTGTTCTTTTTTGTTGGACTCATGATCTCCCACTCCACCCCAGATCCGCTCCTCCCCCGATGCACTGTAGGCTCCATCACCTACCCTGTTGCACAAGCCAGAAACTCACCTATCATCCTTTACACCTTCCTCAACTCCCCATCTTCCACCCTGCTGCAGCCCATGTCTAGCCCAGTTGCAACTCAAATAGAAGTATTCCCCAGAGAAGCTTTGCTGATAAAATCAATTAGGTCATTCATTCCTTATATACTTTACCCCTCTGTTTATGTTTATGGGATTATCTGATTAGTATCTGTTTGCTCACTGATTGACCTTATACTTTTTTAAGCATGATGGAATATACCATGATTGACCTTAAAAACCAAAATTTTATTCTTTACCTAGAGTAGCCCTGCCATTTTTTTCCTCATCAGACACTGTCAGCTTTTATGGTGGTGTTCCATTTTGTTTTTGTTTTTGTTTATTAACTGATCTTCAGTGTGATGCCTGAGGCCCTGATTTCTTCTTTAGTTTCCATGATCATTTGGAGCATTGGACCAAAGTAATAATTGGATTCACTTGATTTATTTCTTACGTTAGACCATTTCTTTTTAAAAAAAAAAAACTCAAATATTTTATTTCATTTGTCTGAGATCAATGCTGTGATCTGTTTACTAGGCTGTTGTCATTCAATATTTAGTTCACACCACAGAGATGAACTATGACGATGAATATTAGAACTAAGAGTAGTTCAATACGGTAGCAATTCTCAACTTGAGGATACAGTGTCAGGCTCTACGTGAACTACCAGGTTAAACAAAATATCCACTGATAGAGATCTTCATTCTGGCTCAGGGAGAGCAGAAGTCATTAGCATGCCTGACATATTACCACATCTGATTACAAGCTTGTTCAAGAGCAATTCTTAGCACCTATAACCCTTACTCAAAATCAATTGCCATTAAGTTGTAAATAAATCTTTAGAATAGTAATTAAACCCTGATGTTCAAATCCACCGATAAGCAAGTTCATCATTTACTGTGCTATATAACCTCTTTAATTGTGCTCTTAGGCATTTTCCATATCATTAACATCTTTTACTCTCTTTTAAGCTGTATTAATAATTATCATCAAGCATGTAATACATCAGAAAGTCTTGTAAAAAATATAAGCAGGTATCCTTTTTTCTCCCTTTTAATGTCTAAATTATTTTGTTAGGTAGAAATTATTTCTGTATTCTGTGTTATGACACAATTTAGCATTATTAGTTTTAACATTTGGAAATCAAAAGTGAAGTACTTCATATTGACTTGTTTGATTTATCAGTAAGAGAACAAAGCTGCATTTTTAAAGCCAGACAAATTTGATAAGCACGATTGTACTACTTGGCAGTTTGTTGACTTTTGTTAGGAAGCTAAAAGTGGCAGCAACAAAGCTTTTCCCCAAATAGGTTGAATTTTCTAAATGTGGTGTGTATCACAAGATGCACTGGCAAAGAATACATTTTGCAAGCTGTTTGTGTTTATGAGAAGCATTGTTTGTATCCATACGACAATATCATTATTATGAATGTAGCTGTGGTATTGTTGCACTAGTATATAGGTTCTAGTCTAAAACCTGTGAATTTGTTGTCACAGAATCAAGTTGTCATTGGTGAAAAGGCTCATTTTAATTTAAAGTCTGCTGTAAGACTGTCTTCACCATCTCAAACTTTTGAGGTGTTTTGAGAAAGTGCAATTTCAGATACATTTTGGGCCACTTCACAGTTTGATCTCTCACTATTTCATTTTTAATAGCTAAAATTCAAATGGCATGCAGAAAACTTATGGAATATATGGTGAAAAGAAAGTCTTTTAAGAAAGGTAATATAGTAGGCCCTTCATACCCCTGGGTTCTGCATTCATGGATGTCAAAAATCTTTGGAAAAAAATTGTATCAGGCCTAGGCACAGTGGCTCATGCCTATAATCCCAGCACTTTGGGAGGCTGAGGCGGGAGGATCACCTGAGGTCAGGAGTTTGAGACCAGCCTGACCAACATGGAGAAACCTCATCTCTACTAAAAATACAAAATTAGCCGGGCGTGGTGGCACATTCCTGTAATCCCAGATACTTGGGAGGCTGAGGCAGGAGAATCGCTTGAACCCGGCAGGTGGAGGTTATGGTGAGCCAAGATTGTGCCATTGCACTCCAGCCTGGGCAACAAGAGTGAAACTCTGTCTCAAAAAGAAAAACAAACAAACAAACAACAAAACGATTGTGTCTGTACTGAACAAGTATGGACTTTTATTCCCTAAACAATACAGCAAAACAACTGTGTAAATAGAATTTACACTGCATTAGGTATTGTAGTTAATCTGGAGATTATTTAAAGTAAACAGGAAGATGTGCATAGGTTATATGCAAATATTATACCATTTTATATCACGGACTTGAGCATCCCCAGGTTTCAGTATCCTCAGGTGGTCCTGGAACCCATCTCCTGCAGATACCAAGGGATGACTGTAGTATTATTTTGAGTAACTGAAAGAAGAGTGTGTCTGCAAAATATTTTCCATGACTTAAGATATTGACATATTCAACTAGATCTCTATTTTTTAAGTTATTTATCTATGCTTTATTTTTATAAAGCACAAAATCCTTGGATTTATTTAAGTATTTGGAAATGATGTATTTCCAAGATGTTTGCTTACTTTCTTTGTGTTATAATAGCATTTTCTAACTTCTCTTTCAATTATCCAATTTGCCAAGCCTGTGAGATTTGTAAGTAATCTTGGGACAATATTCAGTATTCATTCATTTGGGTGGAAGAGATTAGAATTTTCTTTAGACAAACAAGTCTGACTTATTTAAACCATTTCACTCTAAAATGGTACATTTGCTCCAGTGTTGGTGAAATTTGGATTGTATACCAGGGGAATATATTCTAATTTAAACATCAGTGCCAAAATATAGCTCCATTTTTTTATTTTAGTATTTATTTCTTTAATTTTACAGATAGTCCCATAATTCTGAATACTGTTATACCAATCCTTTTTACTATATGTTGTTATTTTTAGAAGACAGAACCTTGCCTAAAACATATAATGTCTTTAGACTAAGAATCAGTGTAATTTCACGCTTCTCATTTTTAATCAAAGCAAAACAAAATCCACTTTTAAGTGTTTTACCTGGATGTATTTATAAAAGTTAAAGTTTGAGCAATTTTATACCTAACATTTGTTCCATTTCTCTTTTATTAAAACATTTGAGGTCTCATAGAAATAAATCAATGTTGAGATAACCTCTCTAAGGCTGCCTGCTTTTTCATTCTTTAAAACTAGTAATTTTCCATCTCTGACTCTTTACATGAAAGGCATTTACAGCTCCTGGGACATTTCAGCTGTTGACACTTTAGAAACCTCCAACTCTGTGTAGGTGTTTTGAAGTAAATTTGAAACATGGAGGTGGAAGAAAAGCCATATGTCCCTAAAAGTTTTATTTAATTTTTTTTTAAGTGGAAGGAGAGCTGCAAGTACAAAAGGGGAGACCTTCAGCAGCTTGTATGAGGAGCAGAGTCCTAAGAGGAGAACCAAAGAGGTGCCTCTATTATTTAAAAAATTCTCAGCAAAAAGAACAAATCATTGTTTTACTATTTGAAGAATAGGACAGGTTTTAAAAATAGCAAGATAACTATGCCATTTCTTTTCGATGGATCAAAATATATTTCAAAGATAAGTATATACCTGATGAATTTTAATTTTAATTAATAAATTAATTGATTAGTTTTAAATCAGAGAATGGACTCTAGTTTCAATCATTATGCTTTGAAAAGGATGCTTTCTTGTAGCAATGTATATTTCAGTGTCTAGAATGTGAAACACATTCTGAACAAACAGATGTCATCTCTGAGGCCCAGGTGATTTTAAAATAGGTTAGTATTTAATGGATAAGGGGGCAGAAAAGTGGCTTTTTCTTTAAGTATCTGCACATATATATAATCTTTTAAATGCTGTACAAGTGACCAAAAATTTTTAAGAAGATTCAGGACACACAAAGCAAAGTTGTTGGGTTTTTCTGTGTGTGTCTGTGGAAGCAGAAGAGAGGAAAGCAGAAGTCTGAAAATGAGAACCTTTTCACTAAGAAAATAACTCTTTTTGTGATTTTCTGAATAGCTCTTAGTTTAAGCAGAAGTCAAAATAAAAACTAAAATAAAATAAACACAATTATGTAAATAAACCAAAAGCCTATATGGGTGAAAACTCTGTTACAATTCACTTCAACTTATGTTTTTGGGAATATTCCTCTTTTTATAATATTCTGCCATTTTATTATCATCAGCGGCATTCATTTTTAGACATTTCCTATGAACTGGGCACCGGAGAAAAAAGAAGGTATAGGATATGTTCTCTTTTCTCTAAGAATTCAAGCCTTTTCATTTTTCGTGTTATAAAAACTGCACCTTTATTTTTGTTTTCAATGGCCCTATACACAAGGAAATTTATTTCTGAATGCTAAAATGATATACATGACAGCATAACCATCAGTAGCTAACCTGTAGCAGATGTTGAAAGGTCTTGTCCAAGTTATTAAGCCATATCACAGTAAAAACTGGTTTCCAAAGTTTCTGATCTTGTAGATTTTTTTATATGTGATGACTGCAGTTAGCTTTCTCCTCATGAATTGTTTCTAATTATATCCTTTTATTTGTTCTTTTGTCTCTTCTTAAAATCTGGTCATATCATTACAATACTAACTTGTGTTTACTCTTTCAACTTTCCCTTTTACCTCACTTTAATGATAAAAAACTAAATAAAAAATATTTAAAATACAAAAATGCTGTAAATATTTAAAATACAAATATGCTTTAGTAATTCTTAACTCTATTTTGTTTTTAAAAAGTTTTTATTTTCCAGCCAGCAGCATTTCTCATCTTCTGTAAAAGCCTAAACTTGTTGATGGGATTTTTTTACTGGGTATTCCTGAGGTGGTCAAAAAAAAAAACTGTCAGAGTTTTTTTTTTTTTTTTTTAGGGGAAAGGAGAGCTTTGACAAATCTTTCTTTCTCTCTGAGAACAGGGGTCTCGTGCAGTTCAGTGGCATTGTCTGGGGACAAGGCAAGAGTTCAGAGGAAGTTCTAGCGAGACTTGACTTAGACATTCACTTCTGCATCATAAAATTAATTCCTGGGCCTTAAACATGGCACATAGAAAACACAGCCCAGGGCCAGGGGTCCTGAAGGCCAGGGGCACACACTAGGACGCACAGCTCACAAACGACTACCAGGGCAGGTGAGGCTCTCCCTCCTCTAGTGCTTTGTAAGACCCCAGGATCTTAGAAAGGCCTCAGTTACTATTGAGGTTGTTATTGTTCTCCTATTATTATTATTGTTTAGATTTCGCTGCCAGTCCAGCAGAGGGGCTTAAATCTGGATCTTTGTTGATTCACAGCAAACAAGAAGCGTGTTATTCCTTGGCTCCCTTGCATCTAGAATGTTCCCTGAGATGAAATCGTACTCATTACATTTATAGTCTTATAAAATTGGTATAATGAAAAGGCTGCTGGACTTGGGCTCAGGAGACCTTGATTCTAAGCCTGAGCTTGCAACTTGGTCTTAATATAAATGCCTTTATAATTGTATTTTGATTGAAGTCATGTTAAACTGAACTTGCTTTATCCAAGCCTGAAACTTTAGAGGTTGCTTGATTAAAAGTTCCCAACTAAGAATAAGACACAAATATGGTTTGAAAACGAGTCCCAGATAGCTCAGAGCAGGGACAGTACCCCCTGACTTGTTTGGAGAAGCAGCAACAAAGGTTTCAGGTTTCTTTAAACTTTCATTTGGCTCTTAAAATTTGAATATGTCCAAACTGCTCTGAAATACCGAAGTACTCCTTACCTTTTCCCCTTTTCTTATTCTTTTTCAAAATGGAGAATGCTTTTTCCAAATTTGGGAATATGGGCTGTGAGGTCAAAATAAGTGGGAGTGTAGACTGTGTTCTCTCCCACCCCCACCCCAAACCCATGCTGCCATCAAACTTGCACAGAGGCCACCACGCATGGACGCTTCCCACTCAGCCCCTAAACATTTATGTACCACTCACTCATGTTTTGGCCCTCCCCTAATCTCTTCCTGGCTGCTCCTTCCTATAATATCTTTCCTGGGATCTTATTTCTCTCCTGCTTTAAAGAGATCCCTCCCTTAATCCCATCTTCCGTTGTAGACACTGCTCCATTCCATTCCTTTCCATCACTAGGAAACGTAAGAGGATAAAGGACTTTTGCCTTCTCGACTTCTTTGTCTCTTATTTTCTGCTCTGCCAACTGCAACAGAGATTCTCCCTTCATCACCCAATAAAACAATGACTGTTTCATCATGAAATCCACAGGACACTTCTCCATCCTCTTGTTGAATTGTCTTCCACAGTGACACTCTTCCACAGTGACAACGCTCTCCCTCATAGTTTCTATGGCTTCTTATCCATTGTCAGTCTTTTTTGCAAGCTCCTGGTGGCTTTTCTTCTATTCTTGGATCCTCAAATATTAATGTTCTGCAGGGTTACTACTAAATCCTCTGTTTACTGTTTTTTTTTTTTTTTTCTGACACTGTATTTAAGGGTTTCCCATTTTTCCCTTGGCTTTAACTTCTATCCATTTACTGATTATACCCAAACTTCATCTCCCACCCATACTTCCCACTGAAGGAGTGCAAGACTTGTGTTTCATAACTTAGGGTACAGATGCTACCCAGCTTTCCATGGGGCTATGTCCTGAAAAACCCATTGTACAAGGAAAATATGATAAGTCAAAAATGCATTTAATACATCTAGCCTACCAAATATCATAGCTTAGCCTAGCCTACCTTAAACACGCCCAGAACACTTAAATTAGCCTGCAGTTGGGCAAAGTCATCTAACACAAAACCTATTTTATAATAGTGTTGAATATCTCATGTAATTTATTGAATACCATACTGAAAGTGAAAAACAGAATGGTTGTATGGGTACTCAGAGTATGGTTTCTACTGAATACGTATCACTTTCACACTATCCTAGTCAAAAAAATTGTGTTGGATCATCCTAAGTCAGGGATCATCTATATAGACCCACTTGACTGTGCCACCAACTCTCACACATAAAATGCACATGTAAGAACTGATTTCTCCCTCAACCTGCATTTTGCTGTATATTCCTTCTTCTGATTAAAAGCAGTGCCACCCATCACCAAAACCAAAAATCTCAGTCAACTGTGAATGCTCCCATCTTCTTCACATCCAGTTCACATCTGAGTTGTGTTTATTTCAACTCTCAAAAAATCTCCAGTGTCTGCTCCTTCCTCTCCATCCTCATCTCCACTCCCTTTGTTCAGACCCACATCATCTCTACTGTGACCATGTCAGTAGTCATGTTGGTGGTTAGTCTTGGGGGGCCATCCCAATGCATTCTCTGCCCTCTTTCATCCTGTATGGTGCCCTGGGAGGCTGACCCCTATGTGGGCTCTTCTGCTTGAGTGAAACTTCAGCCATACTCCATTTCGCCTGCTTATGCACCTCTCCCAGTGCATGTGAATTGATAGGCATTTTTCCAGATTGTGTCAGGTAGGCTAATATCCTGGAAGAGGAATGGAAACAAGAAAGACATCTTTTGTTCCCAATGAGTGGCTTTTCTTCTCAGAATATATTAAGTTGAAACTAAGTCATGTTTTAACTTAAAGAAAAGAAGGGTAAAATGATGGGCTACTTTATTGAAGCTTGAGAAATAGGAATTGACTCACATGTGCAACAACCTATAAATATATCAAAGAAGTATTTATCTCCCTCCTTCCCTCTCTCCCTTCCTTCCTTTCTTCTCCCTTTCCTCCCCTTCCTTCCTCCTTCCTTCTTCCCTCCCTCCTTCCCTCCCTCCCTCCTTCTTTCCTTCCTTCCTTTTTCTTCTTTTCCTTCCTTCCTTTTCTTTCCTTCCTTCCTTCCTTCCTTCCTCTTTACTTTCACATTGCATGCATTCTTTCTTTCATTCATTCCTCATTTCTCTCTATTCACTGTCTGTTATTTAACATCAGTCTCTGAGCATAGCTTAAATGATAATGTGTTTTCTCCATATAGTGCAACAAAGTCCATTTGAGATTTTTAAACCCCTTGATTAAAAGTATGTGGGGCAGGGGGAGTAATTTTAAAGCTTAATGATAGAAGTCAGGAATCATCTCCCTCATTTGAAATATTATTTGTAGGAATCCAGTGGAGAGGATTATATAACTTCTTAAGTGGATCCTCACATTTCAGGAAATGTATTAATTATCCTAAGGGAGTAAATCTCATGCTAGAACCTTCATTTCAGCCAGTTCCATTCTCAAATCTTGTGTCTTCTCCAGTTACTTTGTTGAGATCTGTGCTGTTTGGTGATGGATGGGAGGTTTGAAAGAGGCACAGAATGTGAGTGATGGTGATGTGAGTAATGGCAATGTTGGGTTGTTTCCTGATCCATAAAACAAGCAAATAATTTTTTTGACCTAACTCATCCACTGTGATGGAAGTGGTTTTTAAGCTGTATTTTCTTAAAGGAAATGTCAATATGCATGAAAATCTGGCAGAGCTTATTGAGACATAAAATGGGAAATAAATGGGAATGAGGTTAGAGTCAGATAAAGGAAATGTGTTTTAGAGAAAATGTGGGCCTATTAGAGTTTTATAGTCTTAAGACCCATTAGAAAAAAAAAAGGCTTATGGGTACCAACAGTGTAGCAATGAACAAATTAACCACTCTGAACCTTTAGTCTTCATATTTTTTAAAATGGTAGGAAATACTCTGACAAACTTTTTGTGATGATTAAATACAAGAGATAAATAAAATATCCAATATAATAAGTGCTCAACAAACGGATAAATGGTGGCTCTTGCTCTGCTTCTGTGGCTGCTCTTATAGTTGTTATTTAGACCCTTTTGTCCTTTTCATTGTTTTCTGTTTCTGTGCTTTTTATATAAATTTGAAAAATATCCCTTTGTTCCTAGTGGTGCAATAACTGTTTTCCGCCACAATAGTCTTCAGTTTAAAGCTTCGATACTGCCTCCGTCTTTCATCTCACGATACCTTGACTTTATAAGTGCCCATAATGTCAATAAATTGATCCTGTTTTTTTAATCATATTTTTACTAAGAGGAGCCACTTCTGACTTTAAAATTATATCTATATATACACATATATACACATATATATACATATATGCACACATATGTACACATACATATATACATGTGTGTGTGTGTGTGTGTGTATATATATATATATATATATATATATATAATTTTGTTTTTTGAGACACAGTTTCGCTCTGTCTCCCAGGCTGGAGTGCAGGGGCACGATCTTGGCTCACTGCAAGCTCTGCCTCCCAGGTTCACGCCCGTCTTCCGCCTCAGCCTCCCGAGTAATAAAAATTCATTCTAGCAAGAAACATGGACAATTTTAGGTATTGTTATAGATGAAGTATCCATTTAAGATTATGAATTTTGGTAAGACAAGGAAATAACTGGGAGAGTGAAATGTTGAATTCACATGAGATTTTCATTAGTGATGCATTTTGGTAGGGGAAAATAAATTAACTATCTGCCCTTTAAAGTCCATCTTAAACTCAAAAAACTGAAATAACTGTTAATAAAATGTAGCATTTTAAATAACAAACAGATAGTAGGCACCTAATACATGTTTGTTTCATTAAGTTCAATGTGCAAGTAATTATTTACAAAGCCTGTTGGAAGTTGTTCCTATGTAGGGTTAGAAACACTTTACTAAGCATCTACACAAAAGTTTTTTGTGTAGCATTATTTGCAGTAATAGTGTAAGGAATGTTCATCTGGCATTGAATTATCAGAAATGTTGCATGTGTGTTTATAAACTTTGCTTTTTCAAATTTATATTTATAATATAGAGAATTCTTTAAAATTTTTTTAATTATGGTAAAAACAGATAACATAATATTTTCCATATTAACAATTTCTAAGTGTACAAGTGTACAGTTCAGTAATGTTATTAAGTACATTGTTGTTGTATAGCAGTAATGTTATTAAGTACACTGTTGTTCAGTAATGTTACTAAGTACACTGTTGTTGTGCAACCAGTCTCCAGACCTTTTTAATGTGGCAAAACTGGTACTCTGTACCCATTAAACTCATTTCCCCAATTCCTCCTTCCCCCAGCCTCTGGCAACCACCATTCCACTTTCTGTTTCTAAGAGTTCAACTGCTCTAGATACTTCATATAAGTGGAATATACAATATTTGTATTTTAGTGACCAGCTCATTTTCACTTAGCAGATTGTCTCAAGGTTCATCCATGTTGAGTATGTGTCAGTTCCTTATCACAATAGGATAATAGGTTTTGTTTTTTGTAAGTATCATATTTTTTATTTTTCATCTCAAATTTTTTTGTAGAGTCCTTACAATTAAAGGTGAGAACATAGACAAGTTAGCTTTTTGGAATAGGTAGATAAAGCAAGAATAAACAATAAAGCTACTATTTAAAAAATATCTAAGTTTTTCTGAACAGGTGCTATCACCAATACCATTCAGTGATAGGCAAGGTCACGGATTCTGTGGCCTTGGATAAAGTAAGTGCATGCTAATTAGGGACTCCTCATCTACTTGTTCTCACCTGGGGATGGTGTTCAGTTAGCATTTGGAAGGAAGGTTGCTCTCAAACTAAGTAAGAATGTATAGACAAAGCCAATGAGGTCGAGGTCTCATGGTTTTATAGCCAGGGGCTTCTATCTTTCTTTTTGCTTTTTCTACCTGGATCTAAAAACCAACCCTTTGCTTTACCAGAGGAAATATTAGATATTTCATGAAAACTAACCTTATATGATTCGCTCACAGGGTACTTCCAAGGTATTTCTAAGCTGAGTCATGAGTGCGTGGGTGTTAATAAATGCACACACATTATGGACAGTTTACAGGTATGATAAGTTTTACAATAAAAATTAGTCTTGCATTAAGTTCTGTTTGTGGTAAAGATTATTACTATAATTAATTTTATGTAGCTTAGTCATTTCCTACTCCTAATATTTGAAGATAGCAAATTATGGTCCAAGTTCTATTTTGTTTTCTTTACTACTATTATCAGTTTTCAGACATGCAGTTAAAGATGAAGTTAGATAAGAAACATGAAATGCTCAGTAATATATTAGTAAAAATGAAGGGGATTCATAAAATGTGTATTTACAAATTAAAATACATTAAAAAAGTTTCCTTGTGTAAATCATTTTTCTTTGAATTAAACATCTTCTTCTTTGTTGTTCTTTGAGATGCAGATGCTGGATTAAACATACTCATGTCTGTGTTTTTTGTGTTCCTTAAGTTAAAGGTGGTGATTACTTACACTTTAAGAGTAACATTTATTAAGTTGGAAATGTAATAAAACTTTAAATGGATTAGAAAATTCTTAGCACATCTGGGAAACTAGGTTTTTTTTTTAACTGACAATCTGAAAAAAAAAAAGCTCTCTAAATACAACTTAGAGTATTGCCGTAATATTCAATCATTTCACTAATTTTATCTCCCTCTCTTATGCTTCCTGGGCTAGATAAATTCTTGAGCACATTCTCACCTCTTTTAGTTTATGACTGAAATTATTGAGAAATGGAAAGATTGTCTATAGTATCCCACTGTATGTCTAGCAATATACTTACTTCTCTGAGATTTACGTCCAGAGACAAGTGAATCTCTGCTGGCTTTCTTTGCCCTGATTACTCAGTGTGTTGGGTGGCAACTGCCCTCCGTAATGGACAGACCCTGGATCTCTAGAGGCTGGCATCATTTTCTGTGGCTTGCAAATAATCCAAGAGAAATAGATCTCAACACAGATGATATCTGATGCATTCCAACCTGAGAACTTTTAGATATTTTCATTGTTTCCTTAATCTAGGGATTTGCAGCCATTGCAGATAGTTTTCTTCTGAAGTGGTACAATGGGGGAAAGAAGCGTGCTAACTGATATTTTAGAACTTCTATACTTTTTGAAGATTGTTCACTCTATTTCTTGGTTGTTTAATTTCAGAGTAAGTTTTCTCCATTTTACTTTCTTAATCAATGCTTATTGGGGTTCATTTGTTTTATTTTTATTTATTATTAGTTTTTGCCATGCAAACCTACAACTTTCATGGGTTCCTTTCATTGAAGGTTTCTTTATTGTCAAACTGCCCCATTTAGTAACTGCAATTTTAATAGAGAAATTTGATTCAATATTATTTTTATGAAGTAAAGATGAATTACATATTTCATGAAGTCATGTAAGGATTGAGTTACACTGATTGCTAGGAAGAGCCACACAAACTATCCAAGCTTCAGAGAGCTAACATTATAAATACAGTTATGTGCCACATACTGACATTTCCATCAATGAGGGACAGTGCATGTAATAGTGGTTCCATAAGATTATAACATGGTATTTTTACTGTATCTTTTATATGTTTAGATGCACTAATACTTACTATTGTGTAACAACTGCCTACAGTATTCAGTACAGTAACATACTGTACAGATTAGCCGAGGAGCAACAGGCTATACCATATCGCCAAGGTGTGTAGTAAGCTACACCATCTAGGTTTGCATAAATACATTCTACAATGTTCCCATAAAGAGGAAATCACCTAATAGCACATTTCTTAGACTAGATCCTCATCATTAAGCAAAGCATGACTGTACAGAAATGTTTAAAAGAATCATGATCATAATATAATGTTTTTGTTTTAAGGAGAATGTGTTTATGTTTGAAAATTACAGATGTAATTTTAAAAGAATTTGTCCCATTAGAATTACAGTCTGATAATTCCAGTTTACAATGTATAACCATATCATTCATTTAAAGTTGGAATTTTGAGCAAAAATCTCTGTGTCCTCCATCAAGATATTTAAGATAACTTAAGTTTATGGCATTTATAAGGTCAGTTTATTAGCTATATGAGAACTACTTGAGTGGTAATGAAGGTTTTTCATTCAGGCATTTATAACACTTAGAAAGGTATATGCATATCAATGGTAATAAACATCATTCAAAGTCACTTTAGGTTCAGTTTCCAAGGGGGTTCTCTGGGTCTTTTCAGGGTTTACCATGGTCAAAACTATTTTCATAATACTGCTAAGAGACTATTGGTCTTGTTTGCTCTTACTCTCTCAGTGTACAGTGTACTTGACCAGAGGATTCATGAGGGGCAGTATTGTAGTACGCAGAGTGCGGAAGCAGAGAAGAGAGTCCAGCTGTTTGTTCGTTAAGCCAGATATGGAAGAGATTTGCAAAAAATGTAAATCATGTCACATTTTACTAATTTTGTCTTAGAATATGTGTTATTTTCATTAAAAGATACTGTTTAATTATGCTAATATTAATGGAATTATTATTTCTAACTTAATTAAGTACATGTTTTTCATTCATTTCTAGTGTGTTTTTTTTTGGGGAGGGTGCGGGGGGGGAAGAATCTCACTCTGTCGCCCAGGCTGGAGTGCAGTGGCGCAATCTCGGCTCACTGCTACCTCCGCCTCCTGGGTTCATGCCATTCTCCTGCCTCAGCCTCCCGAGTAGCTGGGACTACAGGCGCCCACCAGCACGTTCGGCTTATTTTTGTATTTTTAGTAGAGACAAGGTTTCACTATGTTGGCCAGGCTGGTCTCAATCTCCTGACCTTGGGATCTGCCCGCCTTGGCCTCCCAAAGTGCTGGGATTATAGGCGTGAGCCATCGCGCCTGACCGTAGATTTCTAGTTTTAATTACTAATATGGTAGGTTTAATTTACATAAAGAATAGCTCTGTGTTGCCCCAATAATTTTTAAGACTGCGAAGAGATCCTGAAACCTAAAGTCCTGAGTCCTGGTACTCTAAGTTGATTGTCAAAATTACCAGATTCGTAAGATGGTGTAGGCTAAATAAAAAGCCTAAGGGAGCTGTGTTTTTGATTTGTAACTTTAATGACTTGAAAATTAACTTTAAATTCTAATGGAAACTTCTAAATGGTCTCTTCTGTGCACCCAAAATTCTCCTAAGGCCATCCAAAAACGTTATCACCACATACAAACCAGGCAGCACCCAAGACTTAAGCCCTGAAAGGGGGCCTATGTCCCCTTTCTCCTCTAAGGATGTGTTCTGGCTTCTTACTCTTACCCCTGTGGCCTTCAATGCCCTCTTACTGCTGAGGTTTCATTTAAGTGAAATTTATTTAAGTGAAAGTCACTTAATTTCATTTCAGTGAAAACGTGTGATTTTTTTTGTTTGTTTTTTGTTTTTCTAAAGCAACAAAAAAATTTCCACCTCAGAAGAGTATTTATACAAGTTCATCTGTTGTGGGCATTCCCACAGGCTAACCCCATTCTTTCCCTGCAGCATTCACTTAATGACTCAGTACCTTATCTCATCTACAGAAGGAGAATAGTAGTAGTACCTGCATAAGATTGTTGTGAGAAATGAGTTAATACATTTAAGGTGCTTAGAATAAAGCCTAGCATATGGCAACTGCACAAAAAAAATGTTATTCTTTTTTAATGTTAAAAAAAAGAGTTGTCAAATTCCCTTTTAACAGATGCATAGGCATCCTGTTGAAACAACAACTGTTTCTTAGTTTGGAGGTTGCCTGGATTTCTTGTTTTTATGTCCCTAGGGAATAAAAACGTGCTTACGAGACTGAAATTAATTATAGGGTCAGTTTCTTCAATAATTTGGAATGTTTGCAAGTTAAAAAAAAATAAACAAACCCTTACTAGGCCTTTTCTTTCTCATGGGAGTTTTTTTACATGTAAATTATTTATCTCACCAAAATACTATTAATATGAAAAGCTCAAACTAAAAAAAAGGCTTAGTAAAATCAACCATTCTATTTTATGTTATGTGTGTATATCACACATTAATTTTGGAATTTGTTATTTCACCTGAAAAATATCCCAAATCTAACATGCCTTAGATTTATTTGAAGTCTTTTTTTAATGCAAGTGGGCTATAATACTTTAACATTGCAATGCTTGTTTCTTTGCTTCTATTCACTTAATATTGAAAAATGTTTTATATTTTGTGTTCTGCATTCTGTTTTATGATTGTGACATAGGTATGCATTATTTGTTTGCATTTAGAATTAGAGAAAGCTTTCACTGGGCAACTACTCATTGCCTCAGGAGTTTATGTATTTTAAAAGGAAGGCGTCTTTTCACTTGAAGCAATGCCCAAGTATTTATTAATAGCAAAGTTGTTTTCATACTTCATGAGGTTCTAACTACCTTTATTTGTATAGGCTCCACCCTATATCATAATAAATGTAAAAAATTGCACTATATCCAATGTTAAATATAATTTTTGTTATAGTTACATTTTAAAGTTTATGTCTAATTGTATTTTGAAACCATTTAGTTATAAATAAAATTCCTTTCTCATTGGCTGAGATTTCTGAACAAGCGCCATGGTAGGTGTAGGATGCAGCCCAAGTATTCTGCCATCTGAGTCCTTGTCTGTTTATCACATATGTCTCCCTCATTGTTCAAAGGTTGCTTTGCTTTTGAGAATGTTCCCCACATACTTATTGTTAAGTTTATTTTTGTGGGTTTTAATAAATTAGAATTTCTAAAAAGAGCTGTTCTGAGAAAATTCTTGTTTGCAAGGATATTTCCTCCTAGATATTTTCATCTCTTTTTTTTTGTATGTCCTAAAATAAGCAACATGAGTACTTTTACATAGAAGGAAGTGCCATAGCTACAATTGTCAAATCCACAAAACAATAAGCCTTGGTAATTCTGTGTCTTAGAACATTTCGTATCTTTGAGCACCACCTTGCAAGTGCCATAGAATGACAATGGCGCTGCCGAGCCAGCAGCACAGGAACACGAACGAAGGTCAACATTTGTGGGTTCCATTACTTAACTCTGGAGAAAAAATGGCAAGTTTCAGCAAGACAACAGTTTTAAATGTAAAACTATTAGACAGAATGTTTGCTCCAGGAAGAATTTTAACTTCACAAATAGATTAAACGTATTATATATAACAATTCAATCTCAAATCATTTTTGGTACAGATCCCCATTTTTTTTTAATTTTCTGTTTGCATACATTGCAGGTTTTTGAAAATACTATAAATCAAAACACAGAGTTGATTTATGGCTTTTTTAACCTTTACTAAGACATAATTGATATACTATATACTGCACATATTAAAGTGTACAATTTGAAGTTTTGACATATGTATACACATGTGAAAATCATCAACAAAAGCAAGATGATGAGTGTGTTCCACACTTTGTAATACATTGTCATGTCTTTGCAATCCTTTGTAATCCCTCCCTTCTACCTCCCACCATCATTTCCCATCACCAGGCAACCATAGATATGCTTTCTGTCAGTATAGATTAGTTGGCATTTTCAAGAATTTTAAATGAATAGGATGATAAAAACTGTACTCTTTTTTGATCTGGCTTCTTTCACTCAGCAAAATTATTTTGAGATTTATGTATACTTTTGTGTCTGCCAATAGTTTATTTCCTTTTCTTGCTTAGTACTACTCCATTATGCCTATATGCCACTATTTGTTTATCCAGTCACCTCCATAGACAGTTGGCTTTTTTCCAATGTTGGGTTGTTGAAGTAAATCTGCTGTGAATATCTGCATACATGTCTATGTGTGGAAAAAGGCTGTCATTTCTTAGGCAAATACCAAGGAGTAGAATGTCTGGTTGTATGGTAGGTATATGTTTAAATTTTTAGGAAACTGCCAAACTCTTTTTTCAAAACGGTTATAGCATTTTACATTTTCAGCAGCAGATGACAATTCCAGTTGCCCCTACATCTTTGCTAATATTTGTTATGGTCAGTATTTTCAATTGTGGTCATTTTAGTGGATGTCTAGTGGTACTTGTTTTACTTAGCATTTCCCTAATGACCCATGATCTTGAGCATCTTTTCATATACTTAGTTAGCATCTGTATATGTTCTTTATTGAAGTGGCTGTTGAAATCTTTTGTCCATATTTCTACTGGGCTGTTTGTCTTGTAGAGTGTAATCATTCTTCATATCTATTTAGGTACAGGCCATGTAAATATATGTTAAAAGTACTATAGGCCGGGCGCAGTGGCTCAAGCCTGTAATCCCAGCACTTTGGGAGGCCGAGGTGGGTGGATCACGAGGTCAGGAGATCAAGACCATCCTGGCTAACATGGTGAAACCCCGTCTCTACTAAAAATACAAAAAAATTAGCCGGGTGTGGTGGCGGGTGCCTGTAGTCCCAGCTACTCAGGAGGCTGAGGCAGGAGAATGGCGTGAACCTGGGAGGCGGGGCTTGCAGTGAGTGGAGATCACGCCACTGCACTCCAGCCTGGGCGACAGAGCAAGACTCTGTCAAAAAAAAAAAAAAAAAAAAAGGACTATAAAACAGGCAATCTTTTGTGGTTTAAATCACCTTTTTATCCCTAAATTCATCCAATTGAACTTCACTATCCTTTAAAATTAATCTTAAAAGAATAATCAAGAATATGAATCAGTTCTAGTATTACTATTCATGCTTCATGAGCTGTGATACTAGAATTTATGCATCTTATTTTTAATACCTGTCTCACATTTGATTATAATTTCTTTTTAAACAATACATTACTGTCCCATTTCTCATGTCAGGGTTATTGGGTTCTCTCTAATGCTGCTCCTAATCTGAAATATACATGCAAAACATTGTAGCTGCATGTGGGCACAATTATAGCTAAAAGTGAACAGCACTTTTACGTTAAACCATTTGGTCCTCACATCAGCTTGTGTGTATTGTGATCCCTTTTTAAAATGAGAAAACGGAGGCACAGCAAGGAAAGACACTTTCCCAAGGTCATGAGTATGTGACAGAGTAGAGTTCACATCAAGCCTCCTTAACTTTAGCCTCCACCCTCTGTGCTTTTGTAAAACACTCAACTGTTTTCTTTTAAGAAATGCCCTAGGCCAGGCGCTGTGGCTCATGCCTGTAATCCCAGCACTTTGGGAGGCTGAGGGGGGCGGATCATGAGGTCAAGAGATTGAGGCCATCCTGGCCAACATGGTGAAACCCCGTCTCTACTAAAAATACAAAAATGACCTGGGTGTGGTGGTGCACACCTGTCATCCCAGCTACTCGGGAGACTGAGGCAGGAGAATCGCTTGAACCGGGAGGTAGAGGTTGCAGTGAGCCAAGATCGCGCCACTGCACTCCAGCTTGGTGACAGAGCAAGACTCAGTCTCAAAAATAATAATAAAAAAAAAGAAATTCCCTGAACAGTAATGAATTTTTTAGCAACAAATTATAAATCATGCCTTAATTTTCCTCCTCCAATGAACCTTTGTACAAATAAATAAATAAATTTGAGCTGTAACTTTATTTCCCTTTCTGAGCAATGAAACTGCCAAAATGAATATAATGGGATGAAATAAAATAAAGTTAATCTTACTGGAAACATCTAAAAATTGTAAACTGAGTCCTTCTCGATTATAGTCATTAAATGTGATACACTCTGATATGCTCATTTTTATAGCATGACTTTCAAAAGTATAATATTTTGTCAACAGACAATCTATTAAACACTGACCAAATCCAAGGTTTGCAAGTGACTTTTTTTTTTTTTTTTTTTTTTTGAGACGGAGTCTCACTCTGTTGCTAGGCTAGAGTGCTGTGGCGCGATCTTGGCTCACTGCAACCTCCAACTCCCTGGTTCAAGGGATTCTCCCGCCTCCACCTCCTAAGTAGCTGGGATTACAGGCATGCGTCACCATGCCCGGCTAACTTTTTTATTTTTAGTAGAGATGGGGTTTCACCATGTTGGCCAGGATGGTCTTGATCTCCTGACCTCGTGATCCGCCCGCCTTGGCCTCCCAAAGTGCTGGGATTACAGGCATGAGCCACCGCACCCAGCCGCAAGTGACATGTTTTATTGCATCTAATAGAAAACCTAATTTGAGTCATTTTTCGCTGAACAATGGAATCATTGCATGGTGATGTGGACAAAGTTCTATAACATGACAATTCAGACACCAAAAGCATATTACCAATGTTATAATTAAGAAGTTTCTGATACTGACAAAAAAATGAAGTGAATAACACAATTTTAATAGATTTTAATAATTCTAACTACAGTATGTATGATTCTAACTTATGTAAATGAGTTTATGTACATAGACTCATTCATAAAATAACTGCTGGATCACAGAGCTGGGGAGCTCAGGTTGCTCTGCCTTTAATCTAGCTCTCTGCTTTCTCATCTCCCCATGAATCTGGCAATCTCTTTTCTTTCTCTGCTTAAAGATATTCAGAGATGGAAGCACCACGCCTTTTTTTGTTAGATCTCAGCATTTCATCATTTCAAAGGGGCAATCACAATTTCTGTTGCTCCAATCTTCTTAAAAGGAAGAGTCTTACATGACATGTGCCATACTTTTAATTTTTATTTTAATTAATATATCACAAGACAAATATCATATATTTAACCAGTTTTTGCTTAATTTTTCTTAGGTATTTTTATTAACTGCTATGTAGCTGAAATGTGCATTTTTGTTTACTGAATTGTCACCTCCATAAACTAAGGATTTCAGGACATTCTGAGTTTTGCAAAGGGTTCTTTACAATTTAAGCTTTTCCTTAAATCAGAAAATATTTCTCCCTGTTCTGTGAATTGCATGCCCTCCTCTTCAGACAGATAAGAAAAAAAGCAATCAAATCCACAGATAAATAGACACCGGCCTGTTCTCACTGCTTGCCAACCTCACTTTTCACAAAGCACTGAGAAATGTCAACTTGGACAGGGTAGCATTCCTGCACTCCAAGAAGCAGTGAATTGCTAGTTTTCTTCTCCAGGCTTTCTTTCCCATTCCCTGCAGACATGCACCTAAAAGGATGCTGAGCATCATATCACAGTTCTTACAGGAGCTTCCTCTCAACTGTGTATGTCCTTCTGAAGTGAGGTGGGATGGACTCACCAAACAGCTGCGTAGAACTGCGTATTGATCAGGAGCTCCAGCTCTGGAGCTGGACAGCCCAGGTTCACACACTACCACTGCTGGTTTGCTAATGGGGCCATCTTGAGGAAGCTCCTTAAATTTTTCAGACTTCAGTTTCCCCTTCTCAATTACAGGATGATAAGAATACTCCCCTAACTATGGAGTTATTCTAAGAATTTCATGAGGTAATTAATGAAAACTGCCTGGCATTAAGTAAACCCTGACTGTGTATGCTATTTTTCTTTGTTGGCCCTAAGATTAGGAGACTGCTGCCGAAAACTATATGGCAAATGGGGCAGATGTGATTTGGGATGCCCCTCATCATTTTCCATATGGCTCTCCCAGCACTTTTAGGAGGACCTAAGCAGCGAAGTGAAGAGATGATGTGATGTTTCACAAAGCCCAAGATTTTGCTAAACCAAGAACAGATTGCATGTAGGGTGTGCACAAGCAAAGGCCAAACATTTGATCATCCTTAAGGCTGTTTCTGCCTTGTTAGAGCTTATCTTCAACAAATGACTAGTGACTTGGAGCAGAACAAGTAACTTCAGAGCAGCAAACTGCAATATGTGATTTCTTTAAAGAAAAGAATAAAAACAATGTTACATCTATATGCATATTTAAATATAGGGTTTGTAGTTATAGAAAAATGATGCTCACACAACGTGTGTATTTGAAACCTGTCCCAATCTCAAGTACCACATAATGAAGCAGAATTCATAGTCGGCATCCCAGACACACAGACAAAAAGGAGAAGCCTAAATGTCAGATGATGAAAGGTCTGCAGGTACAAGGGGAGTGGAAGCAAAGGCTCCATAGGGTAAGTGCTTTGGGAGAAGTAAAACAAATATCTGTCATTGTGTATCTGTGTATGTGTACCTGTCTTTGTCTCTCCCCCGGCAGTCTTCCCTCTGCATGTGTGTGTTTCTTATTCTATTTATCTGTCTCATTCTGACTTACTCTCTTTTTCACCTTCTGTGTCTCTGTTTCCTCTCACATACACTCAACCCGCAGTAATGACTCCAGTCATTAATCAGAGATGTAAAGTACTGACAGCAGTGATCAAGAAGGATGGGCTGGGCACAGTGGCTTACACTTGTAATCCCAGCACTTTGGGAGGCCAAGGCAGGAGGATTGCTTAAGGCCAAGAGTTTGAGACCAGCCTCAACAACATAGTGAAATACCCCTCTCTACAAAAAAAATAAAATAAATAAAACAATTAGCTGAGTGTGGTGGTGTTTACCTGCAGCCCCAGCTACTTGAGAGGCTGAGGCTAGAGGATCTCTTGAGCATGGGAGTTTGAAGCTACAGTGAGCTATGTTTGCATCCCTGCACTCAAGCCTGGGTGACAGAATGAGACCCTGTCTCTAATAATAATGATAATAATAACAAATTTTAGAAGGATACAAGCTCGCATTTAAGAGAAAAACAAAAGAGCAGGGTAATTCAGATATTCCTGTATCCTGCCTGTGCTTTCCTAGAGACCAAGTTTTGTGAGTTAGTGATTAGTTACGTTTCTCAAAAATTAATCAGAGAGTGTGACTTCTGAAAAATACAGAAGGTAGGAAAGTGGCTGCTTATTTTTAAAATATTTACAATCAAATCAGTCCCTTAGAACCAAACAAATAAAAACATCAGTTACATCGTATTACCAAGAGAACAACCCAAAGATCCAAATGGGCGATGGCACATATAATATGAAATTTTAAATTAGAATCCTAGTTTAAGGATTCATTACTAATATTATGTGTATGATGTGGATAATGGTTGTCAGGTCTTTCTTGGAGGACATGGACATAATGGTTAGAATTTTCACGCTTATTTACCAAATAGGTTTATGCTGGGCCCAGGAAAAATGGACGTAAGTTCCTAACTCCATTCTTTCCTTGGAACTCAGATTTCCAATGATGTTTGCTGCTTTTAGCTAATTAAATAACCTAGCTTTTACCTTATCCAACAAAACACATTTTTTCAGGATAGCTGATATTATATATGGTTTAAGGACAACAGTGTGCTTTAATTTACACAAAAGGTGGGAATGATTTTATGGATTGCAGATATATATACATTTAGAGTATTTTTCAATCCCAGAAGATGAGTGTCTAATTGCCAAAAAATCAGGAAATGTGTTTCAAAGTAATGCTTATTTTATACACAGTAGGATTGTTGGAATTTATAAAAGGAAAATGGAATACAAAGGTATTATACTCAAATAAAAAGCATATAGCCTTTCAAATAAGCCAGGTATGGAGCTTGCAGGTGGGGCAGATACCCTGAAGAAAAAGGATGCGGGAGGTCAGGCTTTGAAAAAGCATATTAGTGCTAGCCACCCTTTGGGCACATTCTCGTCATATAAAAATAGTAACTTCTGGTTCCTGGACACTTTCTATGTCCCAGACATTTGCTATACACTTTATGTATGCTACTTTATTTCATGCTTTCAAAAACTTATGTAAGGTGAGCATCTCTATTTTATAAGAACTGAGAATCGCTTAGATCTAAGATCCAAGCAGCTTTTTCTTAGAGAAGACACAGGTACTTCCATGTAATCAGCTAGAAATCGGGTGGGAAAAACTCCTTCCGTTGTACAGCCCTGGGGCTCCCACCAAGTGGGAGAAGTGACACTTCCTTTGGTCATCTGGCATGGGGACTGGGGGATGGTAGGAATCCTCCAGAGTGCTTCTGTTTTAGGAAGACCAGGCAGTAGCTTTGGTTATTAGAATGCATTCATTGTTCAACCGTAAACACAAGCAATAAACAACTATACAACTTTGATAGATATTTGTAGGAACTTCATCTGTATACTCACAAATAGAGGGAAAATATCTTAAGTGACAAAGAAGAATGTTACTACATCAATAATCCAGTGATCTCCATCATCATAGTGCCTCATCCCAGGTGTAATTGATGTCACCCCAATATCTCCATTATCATAGTGCCTCATCCTGGATGTAATTGATGTCACCCTTCTGTTCCATGACTCGGACCCAAAAGGAGGGCAGTCTTTAACACTGAATGCGGCGGGTGTTTCTTCCTAAAACTTGGTTCAGCCAGGGTACTTTCTTACATGCCACTCTTCTAGTGAGATATTCCACTTTCTATATAACTTTTGAACATGACTTTGAAATCAGAGCTCAGCGCCTTCCTTCTACTTCTTCCTCTCCAGTAAGCAACCTAATCTCTCAACATACTTTTGCCTCTATCGTTGTTTAAAAAATAGTGTTATTTAAAACCAGTGATGGCTAGTTAGGAACAGTTTGGAAAATAAATGAAAGAACCTTAAATAAACAAATAAACAACTATTATTATCAATCCGCAAGTTGTAAACACTATTAACATTGTGATCTGCAAGTTGAACTATACGAAATTGCTGCTAATAGACTTGTTGACCTCCTCACTCAGCAAATTCGTGTGGTTAAACCTAAATTTAATATATGTCTTTTTAAAGATTGTTTTGTGTATAGATTTGTGTTTATAAGACTGTGGATATGTCCACACAACTTATCTCTAGGTTGTTTGTGTTTTGCTGAACATAACATAGAGTACATTTTACCATGCAACTGTTCTTTGCAAACATATTTTTAATTGGGAGTTTCTTTTCAGGCACCCCTTCCTCGGTGCCTTTGATCTATAGAGCCAGGGTGTCCTTGGTTCCAGGCAGGCATTTATTCAGCAGTAAATATTAACCACTTACTAATCAAAAATATCACTTAAGCCAGCAGGAAAAAGCTGTATTCACTCAGGACATTTGATCATTTTCTGAAAGATTTTTTTACAAGAAAAACTTGAGGGAATCCAATTAAATATGTTGTTTGCCGTACCAGCAGTATTATATTTCCTGAGAACA
Organism: Homo sapiens; assembly: GCF_000001405.40. Classification (NCBI taxonomy): domain Eukaryota; kingdom Metazoa; phylum Chordata; class Mammalia; order Primates; family Hominidae; genus Homo; species Homo sapiens. The sequence continues at coordinate 239,616,646 of NC_000001.11, forward strand.
GCTGTACAACAGGAATTGCCAAAATTATAATTCATCACATCAAAACTGACCTTTCCAAATATTTAAGAGGTTGAAATTTTAGCTACATACAGTTTCAGGAGCTCATTAGATTTTCAAGAGTATATCTAAGAATGTCATGGCTACATTTCAAAATGTGGTATTTGAAGACAGGTGTTTCTAAATGATGTTATCAGATTTTTAAAAATATTCCAAATCCATTAGTCATTGTTGTGCAATGCAGAGTGCAGCATTCCTTTCTTAGAAAGATACATTTACTTTTACGATGGTATAGAGTCTATGAAATCTGGGCAAATACTTATCTAGACTCAAGAGCACATTCAGTTTTTAGCTAAGCTAGATTCTGAAGAATAATTTTGTTTCTTTCTGTACTGATATAGAGAAGAATCCTGAACTGTTTGTGCAGGGCATCATTTAGCATAGCTCCCCTACATGGTCAAACAAAATTGAGAAAAGCAAGCATCAGAATATAACTGCCTTTAGAAAATTCACAGTCCACATCTCAGTTTTGACATTTCTGAGTAATCCCATTATAACAGTAATGGTAATATAGTATTTAACCCAGAACTTTCCAAATTTATTTGAACACCATATCTCTTTCTCGAATATTGTGGAGCCCTCGGACATCCAGTAGAATCTAGGAAATGTTGTAACCGTCTAGGTAGTGTCTTGTGATTGCTTGAATTTGCCTACTCTAAACCCTATCATCTTAGTCACTTATCAGTTAAAATCCAGACAGTCCTGGTGACTCTCTACAGTACCAGCAAGGGTGAATTTTTGGCCAGGCGTGGGAGCTCACACCTACAATCCCAACACTTTGAGAGGCAGAGGGAGGAGAATTGCTTCAGCCCAGGAGTTTGAGACCAGCTTGGGCAAGATGGTGAGACCTCGTCTCTACAAACAAATTTAAAATGTAAAAAATTAGCCAGGCATAGTGGCGCATGTCTGTAGTCCCAGCTACCCAGGAGACTGAGGGAGGAGGATTACTTCAGTCCAGGGGTTCTAGGCTGCAATGAGCTGTGATGGCACCACTGCATTTATAAAGACAATAAAATGTTGGAAAAAATTTAAACCTACAATATGATATTAAAATATCTATAGTTTTTATCATCATACAACACACTGTACGTGGTGTAGAGTTCCAACATTCATTTCTGTCGCCTTCTTCACACACACATGCTCACAAGTGATGACAGTCTGTATGTAAGATGACCACTGTGGTGTGCCCCTGGAGGTTCCTTTTGTGCCTACTTTAAATAGCATTTGGTAAGCCCTTTTTTATTGTTTCCTGGCAGTATTGCTAAGTATCCTGCTCATCCTGTATCTTAGCAGCATTCATCAGTCTTCTCTGCCTGCCGTTGTTACGTTTCCTTTTTTCTTTTTATCAACTGTGTTTCTAAGGAGTTTTGCTTGGCTGCAGAACACCCAGGGAAGTGCGTACAGTTAAAAACTCCCCAGGTGTGACTTATTACGTATTTTCCCTGGTCTTAATGTGTATCTGTCTGGGCAGTGATGTGAACTTAAGGGCACATTTGGGGCTTGCAGTCTTTACCCACCATGCTGTGAAAGAGATAGACATGTGAATAGAGAGTAGGAGTACTTTTTTTTTCTTTCTTTTTTTTTTTTTTTTTTAATGACAAGCAGAGTGGTAAGGCACAGAGGAAACTAGAAGCCCAAATGGGAAATGCAAGCTTAGAGAGGCTGATGCAGCTTCAGTCATGGGTGGCCCTGTCTAGTCCGGAGAGAAGCTCAGGCCTCATCTGCTAGGAGGTTTGTTTTCAAGTCACCTTTTAATTAGAATGTAGTATATGCCCATTTAAAACAAAAACACAACTTGGAAAACAGGAATCTTCGTGGAAAAATGATATACATTCCTATCACTTAAAAGATAGTCAAGATGGCCGGGCGCGGTGGCTCACGCCTGTAATCCCAGCACTTTGGGAGGCCAAGGCGGTCGGATCACGAGGTCAGGAGATCGAGACCATCCTGGCTAACACGGTGAAACCCCGTCTCTACTAAAAATACAAAAAATTAGCTGGGCGTGGTGGCAGCCACCTGTAGTCCCAGCTACTTGGGAGGCTGAGGCAGGAGAATGGCGTGAACCCGGGAGGCGGAGCTTGCAGTGAGCCGAGATCGCGCCCCTGCACTCCAGCCTGGGAGACAGAGCGAGACTCTGTCAGAAAAAAAAAAAAAAAAAAGTAAAGATGACATTTAGATGTCATATTTCCTCTCTCTTTTTTATGATTTATTTATTTATTTATTTATTTTTGAGATGGAATCTCACTCTGTCGCCCAGGCTGGAGTGCAGTGGCGGGATCTTGGCTCACTGCAACCTCCGCCTCCTGGGCTCAAGTAATTCTCTTGCCTCAGCCTCCCAAGTAGCTAGAATTACAGGCGCCTGCCACCATGCCCAGCTAATTTTTGTATTTTTAGTAGAGATGGGGTTTTGCCATGTTGGCCACACTGGTTTTGAATTCCTGACCTCGGGTGATCCACTGGCCTCAGCCTCCCAAAGTGCTAGGATTACAGATGTGAGCCACTGCGCCTGACCTCCTTTCTCTTTTTTATAACATATAGTTATTCTATCACTCCTCTGAGGTAAATTACTGGTTTTTAACTTCAGGCTGTGCATGAAAAGACCAAGGCCCTGAGTCTGGACTGCCTGAAGTCCACACTCAGCCACTGCTGAAGACCCTGGATGGAGACTTCCTGCCATTGCAGTGAACAGTAAAAACGAAACCGATTCTCCAAAGAAGCAGGTCCTACATATAGAACAAAATATAGCTACTTTCTAGTATTTAAGAATGTATCTACCTGCAGACTTTTAAACTGAGCCAATATTGTTACTGATTCTTCATTTTCTAATCAATTCCAAAGTGTAATTGATGAGAATGATGGCCCAATTATGGAGAGATATTGGACTGTAAATTTCATAGTGGTCCTTTAAGCTGTTTTTCTGGTTTGTGGCGGAAGCACCCAAAAGAATATCTTTTATAAGAATCAAAACTACAGGTACATTTTTCCCCTTTAAAATTGGTTTCTCGAACCCCCATAAACACCATTATTTGGTCAAACTCCGTAACATTGGTGTGACCCAAAATAAGAACTACTTATCCCTAGCTTTCACATTCATGTTATGATTTAAGAGAGAGTGAGAGACGAGTGGGATTCAGGGTGGGGGTGGAGGGAGAGGCTGAGATTCATGGACTATAATTATAAGTCACCTGAGCTGGGGTTGCTGAAAGGTTACCTGAAGAAAAGGGTGATTAATATTTCCAAGTATCTAAATGGAGCCATCTCTGGCTAAAGAATAGTATTTTAAAGATATTATTTATAAAATCAAGGAGCTTCAGGACTGGACCTTTTCTTTTGTTATAGATATTTTTTGAACTTTAAAAATTACAGGAAACCATTTGGTGAGTTAGACATTTTTAAAATTATAGTTTTGTGGGAAAAATAACAGCATTGACTTTTAGATCTGGATGTGTTTTTCCATGTTAAAGCTACTTACTAAATGGAGCGTGTAGTAGTTTTTACTCAATATGACAGAGTCTTTTAAAATTCTCTTTGTGAATAATAGTTACTGTTGTTTTCTCAAAATACATTTTTCAAGGATTATCTCCCTCTTAATGCCACAACCTCAGAACCTTGGCCAAAGATTGTTTTCAGTCCGCCTTTGGTGCAAGACTGTGTTTGAGACCCAAGAGATAATAAATAGATACATCTGTGAACACTACTTTTCTTTCCAAAAATCAGATACGTAGGTAGATACATATATAGATAGAAATAGAGATAGATAGGTAGGTATGGGTAGGTAGATAGATAAGAGATAGAGATAGAGAGAAAGAGGGAGAGAGAGAGAATATCCAGTTATGGTGAGGAAATAGGAAACAAAATTGCTACAACTGTTTTGGTAAGTAATCTAGCAGTATGTACCAAAATTTAAGCTATGAATACTCTATAACATATAAATCATAATTTTAGGAATATAGAACTAAAAATGGATGTATATATATTATATACACACACAAAAGGATTACTATTGCTATATTGTTTATAATAAGAAAAAGGAAGCAACCATAATTCTATAAATAGTAAAAGAATAGGGCACATCCATGCTGAGGTGGATTCACTCTCTCTTACAAAGAGAGAGTTAGATTCACAGGCATTGATGAGAAATATATAGTACTGTTTCGTGAGAAGGGCATATGCATAGTCGTATGAGTGGTAGGATAATAGTAAAAGAAATGGGTAGAGACATACTTTATTTTATTGTGCTTCAGTTCATTGTGCTTCACAGATATTGTGATTTTTACAGATTGAAGATTTGTAGCTTCCCTGCTTCAGCAAATCCATTGGCAGCATTTTTCCAACCCCAAGTGCTCACTTTGTGTCTGTGTCACATTTTGGTAATTCTTGTAGTATTTCAAGCTTTTTAATTATTATTATATATGACATGGTGATCTGGAATCAGTGATCTTTGAGGTTATTGTTGTAATTGTATTGAGATGCCATAAACCACTCCCATATAAAATAGCAAGCTTAATTGATAAATGTAATTAATGAATGTGTTCTGACTGCTCCACCAACCACCCATTTCTTCATCTCTTTTCCTCTCCTTGCCCTCCACCCCATTTCCTGAGTCACAACAATATTGAAATTAGGCCAATTAATAGTCTTACAACAGCCTCTAAGTGTTCAAGTGAAAGGAAGAGTTACATGTCTCAGTCAAAAACTAGAAATAACGAAGCTGAGTGAGGGTGCCATGTGGAAAGCTGAGACAGGCTGAAAGTGATGCCTCTTACACCAAACAGTTAGCCAAGTTGTGAATGCAAAGGAAAAGTTCATGAAGGAAATGAAAAGTGCTACTCCAGTGAACACACAAATGATAAGAAGGCAAAACAGCCTTATTGCTGATATGGAGGAGAAAGTTTGAGTGTCCTGGCTAGAAGATCCAGCCAACCACAAGATTCCCTTAATCCATAGCCTCATCTAGAGCAAGGCTTTAACTCTCTTCAATTCTATGAAGGCTGAGAGAGGAAAGGAAGCTGCAGAAGAAGAATGTGAAGCTAGCAGAGGTTGGTTCATGAGGTTTAAGGACAAAAGCTGTCTATATAATATAAAATTACAAGGTGAAGCAGCAAGTGCAGATCATTGATGAAGGTGGCAACACTAAACATCAGATTTTCAGTGTAGATCGACCAGCCTTCTGCTGGAAGAAGATGCCATCTAGGACTTTCAAAGCTAGAGAGAAGTCAAGGCCTGGCTTTAAAGTTTCAAAGGACAGGCTGACTTCCTTATTAGGAGCTAATGCAGCTACTAGTTAAGTTGAAGGTAACATTCATTTATTATTTCAAAAATCCTAGGGCCCTGAAGAATTATGTTAAATCTACTTTGCCTGTGCTCTATAAATGGAATAACAAAGCCTGGATGACAGTGCATCTGTTTACAGCCTGATATACTGAATATTTTAAGCCTACTGTTGAGAACTACTGCTCAGAAAAAGATTCATTTAAAAATATTACTATTCACTGACAATGCATCTACTCGTCCAATAGCTCTCATTTGGGTGTACAAGGAGGATATTAATGTTGTTTTCATGCCTGTTAATATAACATCCATTCTGCAGCCCATGAATCAAGGAGCAATTTTGGCTTTTAAGTCTTACTATTTTAAGAAATACATTTCATAAAGCTATAGCTGCCATAGATTCTTGTGATGGATCTGGGCAATGTCAATTGAAAACCTTCTAGAAAGGATTCACCATTCTAGATGCTATTAAATACATTCATGATTCTTGAGAGGAGGTAAAAATATCAACACTAACAGGAGTTTGAAGAAGTAGATTTCAGCCCTCATGGATGATTTTGAGGGGTTCAAGACTTCGATGAAGAAAGAATAAATACCATTGTGGTAGAAACAGCAAGAGAACTAGAATTTAAAGTGGAGCCTGAAGATGGGCCTGATTTGCTGCTATCTCATGATAAAACTTGGAGGAGGAGTTGCTTGTTATGGATTAGCAAAGAAAGTGGTTTTCTTGAGATGGAATTAACTCTTGGTGAAGATACTGTGAATATTGTTAAAATGACCACAAAAGATTTAGAATATTACGTAAACTTAGTAAAGCTGCAGCAGCCTTTGAGAGGATTGGTTCCAATTTTTAAAAAGTTCTACTGTGGACAAAATGCTGTCAAACAGCATCACATGCAACTTGAGGATGTGATGTATAGCATCACAAGCTACAGAGAAATCTTTTACAAAAGAAAGAGTCCATCACTGCAGCAAACTTCATTGTTTCTTATTTGAAAAAATTGCCACAGCCTCCCCAGCTTTTGGCAACCACCACCCTGATCAGTCAGCACCCATCAACATTGAGGCAAACCCTCCACCAAAAAAAAAAAATTATAACTCTATAAAGGCTCAGATGATTGTTAGTATTTTCTAGCAATAAAGGTTTTTTTTTATTATACTTTAAGTTTTAGGGTACATGTGCACAACGTGCAGGTTTGTTACATATGTATACATGTGCCATGTTGGTGTGCTGCACCCTTAAATCGTCATTTACATTAGGTATATCTCCTAATGCTATCCCTCCCCCCTCCCCCAACCCCACAACAGGCCCCGGGGTGTGATGTTCCCCTTCCTGTGTCCAAGTGTTCTCATTGTTCAGTTCCCACCTATGAGTAAGAACATGCAGTGTTTGGTTTTTTGTCCTTGCGATAGTTTGCTGAGAATGATGGTTTCCAGCTTCATCCATGTCCCTACAAAGGACATGAACTCATCATTTTTTATGGCTGCATGGTATTCCATGGTGTATAAGTTTTTTTTTTTTTAATTTTTTTTTTTTATTATACTCTAAGTTTTAGGGTACATGTGCACATTGTGCAGGTTAGTTACATATGTATACATGTGCCATGCTGGTGCGCTGCACCCACTAACGTGTCATCTAGCATTAGGTATATCTCCCAATGCTATCCCTCCCCCCTCCCCCGACCCCACCACAGTCCCCAGAGTGTGATATTCGCCTTCCTGTGTCCATGTGATCTCATTGTTCAATTCCCACCTATGAGTGAGAATATGCGGTGTTTGGTTTTTTGTTCTTGCGATAGTTTACTGAGAATGATGGTTTCCAATTTCATCCATGTCCCTACAAAGGACATGAACTCATCATTTTTTATGGCTGCATAGTATTCCATGGTGTATATGTGCCACATTTTCTTAATCCAGTCTATCATTGTTGGACATTTGGGTTGGTTCCAAGTCTTTGCTATTGTGAATAGTGCCGCAATAAACATACGTGTGCATGTGTCTTTATAGCAGCATGATTTATAGTCCTTTGGGTATATACCCAGTAATGGGATGGCTGGGTCAAATGGTATTTCTAGTTCTACATCCCTGAGGAATCGCCACACTGACTTCCACAATGGTTGAACTAGTTTACAGTCCCACCAACAGTGTAAAAGTGTTCCTATTTCTCCACATCCTCTCCAGCACCTGTTGTTTCCTGACTTTTTAATGATTGCCATTCTAACTGGTGTGAGATGATATCTCATAGTGGTTTTGATTTGCATTTCTCTGATGGCCAGTGATGATGAGCATTTCTTCATGTGTTTTTTGGCTGCATAAATGTCTTCTTTTGAGAAGTGTCTGTTCATGTCCTTCGCCCACTTTTTGATGGGGTTGTTTGTTTTTTTCTTGTAAATTTGTTTGAGTTCATTGTAGATTCTGGATATTAGCCCTTTGTCAGATGAGTAGGTTGCGAAAATTTTCTCCCATGTTGTAGGTTGCCTGTTCACTCTGATGGTAGTTTCTTTTGCTGTGCAGAAGCTCTTGAGTTTAATTAGATCCCATTTGTCAATTTTGGCTTTTGTTGCCATTGCTTTTGGTGTTTTGGACATGAAGTCCTTGCCCACACCTATGTCCTGAGTGGTAATGCCTAGGTTTTCTTCTAGGGTATTTATGGTTTTAGGTCTAACGTTTAAATCTTTAATCCATCTTGAATTGATTTTTGTATAAGGTGTAAGGAAGGGATCCAGTTTCAGCTTTCTACATATGGCTAGCCAGTTTTCCCAGCACCATTTATTAAATAGGGAATCCTTTCCCCATTGCTTGTTTTTCTCAGGTTTGTCAAAGATCAGATAGTTGTAGATATGCGGCATTATTTCTGAGGGCTCTGTTCTGTTCCATTGATCTATATCTCTGTTTTGGTACCAGTACCATGCTGTTTTGGTTACTGTAGCCTTGTAGTATAGTTTGAAGTCAGGTAGTGTGATGCCTCCAGCTTTGTTCTTTTGGCTTAGGATTGACTTGGCGATGCGGGCTCTTTTTTGGTTCCATATGAACTTTAGAGTAGTTTTTTCCAATTCTGTGAAGAAAGTCATTGGTAGCTTGATGGGGATGGCATTGAATCTGTAAATTACCTTGGGCAGTATGGCCATTTTCACGATATTGATTCTTCCCACCCATGAGCATGGAATGTTCTTCCATTTGTTTGTGTCCTCTTTTATTTCCTTGAGCAGTGGTTTGTAGTTCTCCTTGAAGAGGTCCTTCACATCCCTTGTAAGTTGGATTCCTAGGTATTTTATTCTCTTTGAAGCAATTGTGAATGGGAGTTCACTCATGATTTGGCTCTCTGTTTGTCTGTTGTTGTTGTATAAGAATGCTTGTGATTTTTGTACATTGATTTTGTATCCTGAGACTTTGCTGAAGTTGCTTATCAGCTTAAGGAGATTTTGGGCTGAGACGATGGGGTTTTCTAGATAAACAATCATGTCGTCTGCAAACAGGGACAATTTGACTTCCTCTTTTCCTAATTGAATACCCTTTATTTCCTTCTCCTGCCTGATTGCCCTGGCCAGAACTTCCAACACTATGTTGAATAGTAGCGGTGAGAGAGGGCATCCCTGTCTTGTGCCAGTTTTCAAAGGGAATGCTTCCAGTTTTTGCCCATTCAGTATGATATTGGCTGTGGGTTTGTCATAGATAGCTCTTATTATTTTGAAATACATCCCATCAATACCTAATTTATTGAGAGTTTTTAGCATGAAGGGTTGTTGAATTTTGTCAAAGGCTTTTTCTGCATCTATTGAGATAATCATGTGGTTTTTGTGTTTGGCTCTGTTTATATGCTGGATTACATTTATTGATTTGCGTATATTGAACCAGCCTTGCATCCCAGGGATGAAGCACACTTGATCATGGTGGATAAGCTTTTTGATGTGCTGCTGGATTCGGTTTGCCAGTATTTTATTGAGGATTTTTGCATCAATGTTCATCAAGGATATTGGTCTAAAATTCTCTTTTTTGGTTGTGTCTCTGCCCGGCTTTGGTATCAGAATGATGCTGGCCTCATAAAATGAGTTAGGGAGGATTCCCTCTTTTTCTATTGATTGGAATAGTTTCAGAAGGAATGGTACCAGTTCCTCCTTGTACCTCTGGTAGAATTCGGCTGTGAATCCATCTGGTCCTGGACTCTTTTTGGTTGGTAAACTATTGATTATTGCCACAATTTCAGAGCCTGTTATTGGTCTATTCAGAGATTCAACTTCTTCCTGGTTTAGTCTTGGGAGAGTGTATGTGTCGAGGAATGTATCCATTTCTTCTAGATTTTCTAGTTTATTTGCGTAGAGGTGTTTGTAGTATTCTCTGATGGTAGTTTGTATTTCTGTGGGATCGGTGGTGATATCCCCTTTATCATTTTTTATTGTGTCTATTTGATTCTTCTCTCTTTTTTTCTTTATTAGTCTTGCTAGCGGTCTATCAATTTTGTTGATCCTTTCAAAAAACCAGCTCCTGGATTCATTGATTTTTTGAAGGGTTTTTTGTGTCTCTATTTCCTTCAGTTCTGCTCTGATTTTAGTTATTTCTTGCCTTCTGCTAGCTTTTGAATGTGTTTGCTCTTGCTTTTCTAGTTCTTTTAATTGTGATGTTAGGGTGTCAATTTTGGATCTTTCCTGCTTTCTCTTGTAGGCATTTAGTGCTATAAATTTCCCTCTACACACTGCTTTGAATGCGTCCCAGAGATTCTGGTATGTGGTGTCTTTGTTCTCGTTGGTTTCAAAGAACACCTTTATTTCTGCCTTCATTTCGTTATGTACCCAGTAGTCATTCAGGAGCAGGTTGTTCAGTTTCCATGTAGTTGAGCAGCTTTGAGTGAGATTCTTAATCCTGAGTTCTAGTTTGATTGCACTGTGGTCTGAGAGATAGTTTGTTATAATTTCTGTTCTTTTACATTTGCTGAGGAGAGCTTTACTTCCAACTATGTGGTCAATTTTGGAATAGGTGTGGTGTGGTGCTGAAAAAAATGTATATTCTGTTGATTTGGGGTGGAGAGTTCTGTAGATGTCTATTAGGTCTGCTTGGTGCAGAGCTGAGTTCAATTCCTGCGTATCCTTGTTGACTTTCTGTCTCGTTGATCTGTCTAATGTTGACAGTGGGGTGTTAAAGTCTCCCATTATTAATGTGTGGGAGTCTAAGTCTCTTTGTAGGTCACTCAGGACTTGCTTTATGAATCTGGGTGCTCCTGTATTGGGTGCATAAATATTTAGGATAGTTAGCTCCTCTTGTTGAATTGATCCCTTTACCATTATGTAATGTCCTTCTTTGTCTCTTTTGATCTTTGTTGGTTTAAAGTCTGTTTTATCAGAGACTAGGATTGCAACCCCTGCCTTTTTTTGTTTTCCATTTGCTTGGTAGATCTTCCTCCATCCTTTTATTTTGAGCCTATGTGTGTCTCTGCACGTGAGATGGGTTTCCTGAATACAGCACACTGCTGGGTCTTGACTCTTTATCCAACTTGCCAGTCTGTGTCTTTTAATTGCAGAATTTAGTCCATTTATATTTAAAGTTAATATTGTTATGTGTGAATTTGATCCTGTCATTATGATGTTAGCTGGTGATTTTGCTCATTAGTTGATGCAGTTTCTTCCTAGTCTCGATGGTCTTTACATTTTGGCATGATTTTGCAGCGGCTGGTACCCGTTGTTCCTTTCCATGTTTAGCGCTTCCTTCAGGAGCTCTTTTAGGGCAGGCCTGGTGGTGACAAAATCTCTCAGCATTTGCTTGTCTATAAAGTATTTTATTTCTCCTTCACTTATGAAGCTTAGTTTGGCTGGATATGAAATTCTGGGTTGAAAATTCTTTTCTTTAAGAACGTTGAATATTGGCCCCCACTCTCTTCTGGCTTGTAAGGTTTCTGCCGAGAGATCCGCTGTTAGTCTGATGGGCTTTCCTTTGAGGGTAACCCGACCATTCTCTCTGGCTGCCCTTAACATTTTTTCCTTCATTTCAACTTTGGTGAATCTGACAATTATGTGTCTTGGAGTTGCTCTTCTCGAGGAGTATCTTTGTGGCGTTCTCTGTATTTCCTGAATCTGAACGTTGGCCTGCCTTGCTAGATTGGGGAAGTTCTCCTGGATAATATCCTGCAGAGTGTTTTCCAACTTGGTTCCATTCTCCCCATCACTTTCAGGTACACCAATCAGACGTAGATGTGGTCTTTTCACATAGTCCCATATTTCTTGGAGGCTTTGCTCATTTCTTTTTATTCTTTTTTCTCTAAACTTCCCTTCTCGCTTCATTTCATTCATTTCATCTTCCATTGCTGATACCCTTTCTTCCAGTTGATCGCATCGGCTCCTGAGGCTTCTGCATTCTTCACGTAGTTCTCGAGCCTTGGTGTTCAGCTCCATCAGCTCCTTTAAGCACTTCTCTGTATTGGTTATTCTAGTTATACATTCTTCTAAATTTTTTTCAAAGTTTTCAACTTCTTTGCCTTTGGTTTGAATGTCCTCCCGTAGCTCAGAGTAATTTGATCGTCTGAAGCCTTCTTCTCTCAGCTCGTCAAAATCATTCTCCATCCAGCTTTGTTCCGTTGCTGGTGAGGAACTGCGTTCCTTTGGAGGAGGAGAGGCGCTCTGTGTTTTTGAGTTTCCAGTTTTTCTGTTCTGTTTTTCCCCATCTTTGTGGTTTTATCTACTTTTGGTCTTTGATGATGGTGATGTACAGATGGGTTTTCGGTGTGGATGTCCTTTCTGTTTGTTAGTTTTCCTTCTAACAGACAGGACCCTCAGCTGCAGGTCTGTTGGAATACCCTGCCGTGTGAGGTGTCAGTGTGCCCCTGCTGGGGGGTGCCTCCCAGTTAGGCTGCTCGGGGGTCAGGGGTCAGGGACCCACTTGAGGAGGCAGTCTGCCCGTTCTCAGATCTCCAGCTGTGTGCTGGGAGAACCACTGCTCTCTTCAAAGCTGTCAGACAGGGACACTTAAGTCTGCAGAGGTTACTGCTGTCTTTTTGTTTGTCTGTGCCCTGCCCCCAGAGGTGGAGCCTACAGAGGCAGGCAGGCCTCCTTGAGCTGTGGTGGGCTCCACCCAGTTCGAGCTTCCTGGCTGCTTTGTTTACCTAAGCAAGCCTGGGCAATGGCGGGCGCCCCTCCCCCAGCCTCGTTGCCGCCTTGCAGTTTGATCTCAGACTGCTGTGCTAGCAATCAGCGAGACTCCGTGGGCGTAGGACCCTCCGAGCCAGGTGTGGGATATAGTCTCGTGGTGCGCCGTTTCTTAAGCTGGTCTGAAAAGCGCAATATTCGGGTGGGAGTGACCCGATTTTCCAGGTGCTTCCGTCACCCCTTTCTTTGACTCGGAAAGGGAACTCCCTGACCCCTTGCGCTTCCCAGGTGAGGCAATGCCTCGCCCTGCTTCGGCTCGCGCACGGTGCGCGCACACACTGGCCTGCGCCCACTGTCTAGCACTCCCTAGTGAGATGAACCCGGTACCTCAGATGGAAATGCAGAAATCACCCGTCTTCTGCGTCGCTCACGCTGGGAGCTGTAGACCGGAGCTGTTCCTATTCGGCCATCTTGGCTCCTAGTATTTTTAATTAAGGTATGTACATTGCTTTCTTGGACATATTGCTATTGCACATCTAATTGATGACAATATAGTGTAAACATAACTTTTGTGTGCACTGGGAAACCAAAAAATGTTTGTGACTTACTTTATTGTGGTGGTATGAAACCAAAACCACAATATTTCCAAGGCATGCCAGTACAACTTTAAAAAGTTAGCAAAATATCCTACCTTTTTTTATGGACATCATAAATCAGAGTAATATTTTGTTGACCTGTTGAAAGAAGCCTCTCATCTGGCCTTCCATAATTATTCTGTCTCTAGTTTTGTTTTCTTCTTTATTTGGCTAACTATATAATTAGGACAGCATTCTCTGGAATTGCCAATCTTAGTTTGATTATGTGACCTTTGAGCCATGTTTACTGGGTTTTGGAGAAGACTGTCATCTGTACTTAGAGATTTGAACCTCATCTCTAAATGAATGTTACATGCAATTAATTTTCAATAGAATGAATCTGCAGCTAGGATGAAAGCCAGTTCCTTTGCTTGTTTTCAGAATGAATGTCTTTCTGAATCTGATACTAGAGAAATTTAATCAGAGAAACTTCAAGATGTTCAATCTCATTTATTGTCTCCCAATTCATTTAGTGAACAAGATATTGATATTAGTAGACACTTCAATAAAATTCAGTTGTGTTTATGTCTGTTTTAACATTAATGGTGCTACTTAATTTTGTATAATATGTATTTACTTATTTAAAATGATCTGAATTTCAACATGTAGGCAATGTTGGGACTCCTAATTGTAAATTAGGCAAATGCGTTTGTAATAATGGGCATTTATTACTTTTAATGATAAAATCTACTGTAAATATTTACTGAGCAACTACTATGCACAAGACAGTGGGTTTCAGTGAGAGGACTGACACATGGTTAAATGGAGTTAACTGAGTACTTGCCCTTTGACCCATTAGATTTTACAGGGATATTAGCAGTGAAAGATGAATTGTATGCTCATCAGCATGCCCTAAATGGTAGAAAATGTCTATTTGTTAGATAGAGATGAGGGAGAGAAATGACTACATCCTTGCACTGAAGTGTTGTTTGATGACTTACCCTCATTTCCTATAGTAGGAATGGGAGTGTTGATATAGTTCAGTTTACTCTTGAAGTTCTAGGTACACAGATATTATTTCCTGAGAATGTGCTGCTATGTAAGAGAGGCAAGGCTGTTAGTGGAAAGAGTCAGACAGAGCTGATTTCAAGTTGTGACCCATGGTCACTTACACCCTCAACCTCAGTTTCCCAGCCCAGGGTATAAAGTGCATGCATTTCATGGAATGATAGCTCCAGCCCTTCCTTCCATAAGACACTTCTCAGATAGGGAGGGCCGGGGGAGGGCAGCAGTGGGGAAGGAGATCTTGGGAGAGGAGGAGTCTGAGAGGCCTTGCTTGGGTCAGTTGCCCTCCCTTGTTGAAAGTGGGAGAGGATCCCGTGATTGACAGTTCCAACATGGCAAGCAATAGCAGAGGGAGAGGGAGGCGCTAAAGAGAGGAAGAAGGGATATCAGGGCAGCAGAGGACCAATGCTTGTGAGCATAAATGTGCTTCTCAAACTGAAGAAGGAGCAATTACTCTTGTCCCCCATATCCTTTGCATATTAATACTTTTAAAAGATATATAAAATACAAATCTATTTTAAATTGTTAATTACATATCCAATTGCTGTAAAACTCTCTCGAAGTTTGCTCTCCTTCTCTGTGCTGATCTTGTCACAGATGACACTCGCAGAGGTTTCACTAGGCTCCTCTCTCACTTGCTGAGAAAAATCCCTCCACATGCACCTCTAGGATCCTTCTACTTCTTACCTTACAGTCTGTTCTCAGTCCTCTTTTCATTTGGTGTCACCGTCACCATGCTGTGCAAACTTCAAGGTCCTCCTTTAAAAAATTCAATCACACCTTATCAGGAGATCTCATCCTCAAGTTCTTCCAAAGCATTTCCCATTCCTTCATGACCCTCTGAACTCAGCCACATCCTTCACAATGCCACAGTTCCCCTGTTCTTCTGCAAAGCCTGGCACTTCTTTTTCTTTCTCTAGGTTAACCTTCTAATGGAGGTACTTTCCTAAGATTCTGGCCTAGCTGTCAGGCTCAGTACACTTCAAAAAGGTGAACTTCAGTGTCTGAAGTGGAGTTAGGGGATTTTCATGAAGATTGCATTTTCTTCCTGTATGAGAATGGGCTAATTGTAAGATCACTGTATGTGTATATTTCGAATAGTGTCTGGGAGAAGGTAGCAAATGGAATACTTGTTGAACATAGACCATACTAGCCAATTTGCTAAGAGAAGAAAGGCAATCATCACTTACATGCAAAATGAAGAGATGAGCAACTTCTTTATTTTTATTCTTCTCACTCTATCTCCCTTCCTTGCAACTGGAGCTTAGGCAGGCAGGAGGTGAGGAGCTGTAGAATGAGGAAGTCAATAGATACATTTCTTTTCCAGTGACGGGTACCTTAACTTCTCTGACCCTCTCCGTCCTCTTCAGGTACATGAGGTTAGGCACCATGATCTGGGAAGTCACTTCCAACTCAAAAATTCTGTAATTTTTTTTCCATTGCCTCTAATCGTGTTGTGTAACCTATTGATGTTCTTTTTCCCAGGGTCTTGGTTATTTGTTAATCCCATATTTTTGTTTGTTTGTTTGTTCTTTTCTAGCACTTGTGTTCTGATTAGTGGCCAAATAAATGACAGTCAGAACTTCAGCTAAGGTACAATAAGGTAAGATCCTTTTTCTAGTTGAGCTATTTCCTTGAAAAGGGGGATTGATGGCCCAATCTGTGAGAACAGATTAACAAGGAATAAGAATGTATAAGTTGGTGTTTTCAACATGATGTACAATTGTTACCATTAGTCATGCTCAATTTTTTGTGTCTTAATAAAGCTAAGTGTGTTCATTTTCTCATCAGTTTAAAAATAGAAATAAAGGGATGTTGATTGAGATTTGAAATAAGTTAACTTTATTTCAAATGCACATTTGTATTTAACTGTAGCAATGTGGAATTTTTTGAAATATTGCAAAATGTTTGAATTATTAGTACATATATAGGATCTTATAGCTTGTCTAATTCTTAGAAGCTTAAGAATTATCCCTGGATTTAGATTGCCCTTCTTCAGAATGCTGTACAAAATATGATTGTGAACATAAACAGAAACATTGTGGAAAAGCTCAATCTTTCTTAGATGTTATCCTTAATAATGTTTTATCTATCCAGCAAACACTGCTAACATCTTACCCTAAATCCAATCCCCCTGTATTAGTCCCTTCTCATACAGCTATAAAAACACTACCTGAGACTGGGTAATTTATAAACAAAAGAAGTTTAATTGTCTCACAGTTCTACATGGCCGGGAAGGCCTCAGGAAACTTATAATCATGACAGAAGGCGAAGGGGAAGCAAGCCATGTCTTTTTTGTTTGTTTTTGAGACGGAGTCTCGCTCTGTCACCCAGGCTGGAGTGCAGTGGCGCCATCTCAGCTCACTGCAAGCTCCGCCTCCCGGGTTCACACCATTCTCCTGCCTCAGCCTCCCGAGTAGCTGGGACTACAAGCGCTGCCACCATGCCTGGCTAATTTTTTGTATTTTCAGTAGAGATGGGGTTTCACCGTGTTAGCCAGGATGGTCTCGATCTCCTGACCTCATGATCTGCCCACCTCAGCCTCCCAGAGTGCTGGGATTACAGGCGTGAGCCACCGCACCCAGCTAGGCATGACTTACATAGCGGCAGGAGAGCGGGGAGAGGGTGCGGAGGAAACTGCCACTTTTAAAACCATCAGATCTCAAGAGAACTCCCTCACTATCATGATAACAGCATGGGGGAAACCACCTTCATGATCCAATCACCTCCCACAAGGCCCCTCCCTCAACAGATAGAGATTACGGTTCGAGATGATATTTGGGTGGGGACACAGAGCCAAACCTTATCACTACCCTCTTCGTTCCTAACAAAATCTTGCTGTTGTAAGGACAGCAAAGTGCCCAGCTAAAAAATATTCTCATCTTCCCAGACTCTTTTTTCTGTGGCCATGTGACCCAGCTACAGCCAATGAGCTCTCAGTCATGGTCCCTGGGGAGAGACTTTCAAGAGGAGATTCCTCTTAGAATGTTTTTCTTTGTTCTTATCCCATCATTCTATCAGGAAGTCACACCCCTCCCCCACCCACCCCTTCTTGCAATCACAGCAACAAAAGCCGAACTGGGGATACTGGAGCAGGAAGATAAAATGAGCTTGAGCTCTGGCAAGCCCATCATCAGATTTCTTGTTGCATGAGACACATACAGTCCCTAATTTAGAAGAGCTTATTAGGTTTTCTGACACTCAGAGCCAAATGTAGACTTAGCTGATTCAGTAACATTCATATCTGGATATCATGCTGGACACATTACCCTATCTTACTTAAACACTGCAGCAGTGCTATTAAGTCGAGTATTTTTATTTCCATTTTATGTATGAGGAAACAGGCTCTGAGATGTTAAGAACTTTGTCCTGTGAACTTTGTCCTATGGTAGTAAGTGGCACAGGTGAGATTCGAACTTGGACCTGTCAGATGCTGATCCCTGTACACAGCTGCCTCGATGCTGGTCCTGACAGCCTGGTTCCAGGAGCCTGTGCTATTGCTGATTACATTTTATAGTTAGTCAGGGGACATTGTCAGCTCAGTAACCCTTTGAATACAATACTCTTCAATAGCACAGACTTTCTATTATATTTTGCATTTGTAAAACTAAGTGAACTGAGTCTATTCCTGTATAACAGAAACGAGAGAGAGAGAGAAAGGAATAAAGATAGAGAGCAAAAGCAAGAACAAACGAAAGAAAGAAAGAAAGAAAGAAAGAAAGGAAAGAAAGAAGAAAAGAAAAGAGAAAAAAAAGAACAGAAAAGAAAAAGAGAAAAACAGATCTGATTTGGGAAAATCAGTTTATATTGGAATTGCCTATGAAAGCTGGTAAAGGAAATATTAATTCTGAGCATCTTCTTTTCTTTTTTTTTTTGAAATAAAAGTTTAGAACTAATGGTCAAAATATGGTCACCAAAACTCAGCTTTTACCCAACAATCATAGAATTAAGTATTCTCCGCCTAACAATCTTCATTAATTCACTCTTGTTGACTTGGTTCAGAAAAAAAAATACAGGTTAAAAACTAAGTCATATAATGAAATTTCTTTCCGAAGAAAGTTATACAAGGCATTGAGTAAGGCACGGAGCTGACTTGGGGGATGGGGGAGCTGGATAATGGAAAAATCTTTTGGCTGGAAAATAAGAGACTGGAAATGCAGGGGATAGCCTAGCAATTTTTGGCATTATAAAAAGCCATTTCACCTCTCTGGACCTTTGCTGCTTATTTGTAAATTGAAGGTATAAGTTATTCTGATATGCTGTTAGTACAAAATAATAGCTTACCTCCTTGGGTCTCCATTGCTAATGCAGGGAAATACTCTGATATCTATTCAAAGCTACAGTTTTTATTTCTGGCCATTGAAACTAAGAGTGACCAGTTATTTTCCTTTTCCTTCTATTTCTTCCAAATACATCCTGAATCCCTTGTCTCTTTTGTTATGACTCTACTCCAAGTCATCATCTTGTCTTGCCTGGACAATGGCATTAGCTTCATGTTAGTCAACATGGCTTTCATTCTTACCATACAAAATTACATTCTGTCACAGCCAGCGTCTGCTTTGGGAAACCTCCATCAGATCTTGTTATTCTCCTATTTGAGACCTTCTCAAAATCCTTCAACTCCCTCCCCTACATTTAGAATCAAATCCAAATGCATTAACATGACTTATAAATCTGATATGATCTGGTTTCTACTTGTACTTTTCTCTCTTGCTTCCTACACTCCAAGCCTCCCTGTCTTTATTTATTGAATATTTCTCTTTGTTCTTTGCCCTCAGGGGCCTGGCACTGATCCCCTGGCTCTTGTTTACTACTTGACCCTTCCAGTCAAATCTCAACTGCCAAGACCTCTCCTAACCGCTCTCTAAATAACCACTGTCCTGGACACCCAGGTTTAATTCCCTTTAAAGACTGGAAGTTTTATTTCTTAAGGCATACGAAAATAACCACTTATGGACAAAATACTTACATATGTAACTTAAGGGACTTAGGTAAGACATGACGAATTCTGTCGCACCTGTTTATATTTTGTCGTTTATCTCCCATTATAATATCATCTAAGCCCCATGAGGGCAGGGCCTTGTCTGTTTCCTTCACTGCCAAAACCACCATACTTATAATGATGCCTGCCCCCTGCAAGAGGCTTAGTAAATGTTTGTTGAGTAAATGAATATAGAGTCAGAAAATGCCCTACGTTAAATATCTTAAAAGAAATTAAGCAATTCTTATAGATGTCCCCAACGTGTCTTTTGCTTAGATGGGAAGAAAAAGAAAAAGAAAACAGAGAAAAAGATGAAGAAACAATCTAGGAAGAAGAACAGAAGGACAGACAGTGGTATAAATAGAAAATAGTGGTAAATCCTTGGGTGGGACTGTTTCAGGGATCTTTACTCAGTGGCATTTCTGATCTATAATATTGGGCGACAGGGCTCCGTTCTTTGGATCTTACATAGATTTATTGGCTAAACCTGGCGCATGCACAATGAGAAATGTTTGTTGAATGAAGGCCCGAAAGAATGAAATAATAAATTATTGAACTGCAAAGAGCAAAATTTTCCCTGTTTTTATGGGCATGATAATATTCCCTTGATGCCAGTATTTAATCCATGTTAGTAACAAACATTCCAGATAACAATGACTGTGAAAAATATCCCGTGAAACAAAAGTCAGTCACTGTGCCAGGCATTTCCCTTAGCACATTTCAGAGTTTATTCTGTCTTCAAGGGAATTGTCACAGTGACTATCCAGAATGGCACAGGGTGTTAATGTATTAAAAATACTGACAGGAAAATGAAAACTAGAAAAACGTCTTATCTGTCAATTAAATGATATAGCCTCGTGGTTACATTACAGCAATTCTGGGGCTTTATCTTTGCTGCCGATTGAGATTTGACAGCTGTTTGTAAAATATTTACATTCTGATTTCTGTCACATTGACAGCACTTTTGGGTCTTTGGAAGATGATAATTATATGTTTGGAAAATGTTAAAAAAATGGAAGCTGATCTGTTGAGGAGAAAAATCTGTTTTTAAAATTGTGCAAAGGAAGGGCACCCACTTTATTAATGAATGTGCGTCTAATAAAAGTCAGAAGCAGTAGATTCTTGTGATCCAAAAACATGCTACATGTAATGTGCAGTAGTATCCCTCCCAACCCTGCCTGCTTTGGGTACCTCAGCTTTTCTTCATCAGCTGTGTGTGTGGCTGGCCACATACTTGTTATGCTTTTCCACTTTATTATGCACATAAAATGGCAATATTTGGATGGCACATTGGATAGGATTTTGGAGTATCTATATGAAATTTTGTGAAAGAAGTTCAGTTTGTATCCTCGGTATTAAAGGAAGAGAAAATAAAAAGTATTGGGAGGAATAGTAAGTATTGAATTTATATAGAACTTCCAAATAAAGTCTTTTCAAAGATTTTAATGAGAAGTATACATTTATATATACATTTATATTATCAGGTATACAGAAATGATGACCTGTAATTCTTGATCAATGGTCTTATCAAAGTCTTTTGTTTGGTTTTGTAAATTTATTTTCTGCTCTAACATGTTACTACATCACTAAATATTCTTTTTAAACACCATTATGTTTATATGCGTAGAAAATGTGCATAATATTCTATAGCATACATAAATATTCCTGATCATTTCCAGTATTTCACGTTAAAAATTTTAATATTGATGAAGATCATTGTTAATAACTTTCTACACATATCACTGAATATCTTCCTTAGAATATAGTCCCAGAAATGAAATTCCTTGATCAAATGGTACACAAATTTTTAAGGCTTTTGATATTTACTGTATGGTTTTCCTTTCATCAAAGTCTTTTTTTTTTTTTTTTTTTTTTTTGGTGAAATGCTCTTTTATTACTTGCTAACAGCATTTGTTATTACCAAGAGTAGTGAGTCTGAAAGCCTTTGCTCTTCACTCGTCCCAAGGTCAACCCCACACAACACCGTGGGGTTGCCAAATCCCATCATAGCAGCACCTGACTGCTCCTGTGAGCTTCACATTTTTCTTTTTTTTTTTTTTGGGGAATTTGTATTTCTTTGTGAATTTTCTTTTTTTTAATTTAATTTTATTATTATTATACTTTAAGTTTTAGGGTACATGTGCACAATGTGGTTAGTTACATATGTATACATGTGCCATGCTGGTGTGCTGCACCCATTAACTCGTCATTTAGCATTAGGTATATCTCCTATGCTATCCCTCCCCCCTCCCCCCACCCCACAACAGTCCCCAGAGTGTGATGTTCCCCTTCCTGTGTCCACGTGTTCTCATTGTTCAATTCCCACCTATGAGTGAGAACGTGCAGTGTTTGGTTTTTTGTTCTTGCAATAGTTTACTGAGAATGATGATTTCCAATTTCATCCATGTCCCTACAAAGGACATGAACTCACCATTTTTTATGGCTGCATAGTATTCCATGGTGTATATGTGCCACATTTTCTTAATCCAGTCTATCATTGTTGGACATTTGGGTTGGTTCCAAGTCTTTGCTATTGTGAATAGTGCCGCAATAAACATACGTGTGCATGTGTCTTTATAGCAGCATGATTTATAGTCCTTTGGGTATATACCCAGTAATGGGATGGCTGGGTCAAATGGTATTTCTAGTTCTACATCCCTGAGGAATCGCCACACTGACTTCCACAATGGTTGAACTAGTTTACAGTCCCACCAGCAGTGTAAAATTGTTCCTGTTTCTCCACATCCTCTCCAGCACCTGTTGTTTCCTGACTTTTTAATGATTGCCATTCTAACTGGTGTGAGATGTTATCTCATTGTGGTTTTGATTTGCATTTCTCTGATGGCCAGTGATGATGAGCATTTTTTCATGTGTTTTTTGGCTGCATGAATGTCTTCTTTTGAGAAGTGTCTGTTCATGTCCTTCGCCCACTTTTTGATGGGGTTGTTTGGTTTTTTCTTGTAAATTGGTTTGAGTTCACTGTAGATTCTGGATATTAGCCCTTTGTCAGATGAGTAGGTTGCGAAAATTTTCTCCCATTTTGTAGGTTGCTGGTTCACTCTGATGGTAGTTTCTTTTGCTGTGCAGAAGCTCGTTAGTTTAATTAGATCCCATTTGTCAATTTTGGCTTTTGTTGCCATTGCTTTTGGTGTTTTAGACATGAAGTCCTTGCCCATGTCTATGTCCTGAATGGTAATGCCTAGGTTTTCTTCTAGGGTTTTTATGG
Organism: Homo sapiens; assembly: GCF_000001405.40. NCBI lineage: Eukaryota > Metazoa > Chordata > Mammalia > Primates > Hominidae > Homo > Homo sapiens. Next base: position 239,638,891 of record NC_000001.11, read on the forward strand.
TTTTAGGTCTAACATTTAAGTCTTTAATCCATCTTGAATTAATTTTCATATAAGGTATAAGGAAGGGATCCAGTTTCAGCTTTCTACATATGGCTAGCCAGTTTTCCCAGCACCATTTATTAAATAGGGAATCCTTTCCCCATTGCTTGTTTTTCTCAGGTTTGTCAAAGATCAGATAGTTGTAGATATGCGGCATTATTTCTGAGGGCTCTGTTCTGTTCCATTGATCTATATCTCTGTTTTGGTACCAGTACCATGCTGTTTTGGTTACTGTAGCCTTGTAGTATAGTTTGAAGTCAGGTAGTATGATGCCTCCAGCTTTGTTCTTTTGGCTTAGGATTGACTTGGTGATGTAGGCTCTATTTTGGTTCCATATGAACTTTAAAGTAGTTTTTTCCAATTCTGTGAAGAAAGTCATTGGTAGCTTGATAGGGATGGCATTGAATCTATAAATTACCTTGGACAGTATGGCCATTTTTACGATATTGATTCTTCCTACCCATGAGCATGGAATGTTCTTCCATTTCTTTGTATCCTCTTTTATTTCATTGAGCAGTGGTTTGTAGTTCTTCTTGAAGAGGTCCTTCACATCCCTAGTAAGTTGGATTCTTGGTATTTTATTGTCTTTGAATCAATTGTGAATAGGAGTTCACTCATGATTTGGCTCTCTGTTTGTCTGTTATTGGTGTATAAGAATGCTTGTGATTTTTGTACATTGATTTTGTATCCTGAGACTTTGCTGAAGTTGCTTATCAGCTTAAGGAGATTTTGGGCTGAGACAATGGGGTTTTCTAGATATACAATCATGTTGTCTGCAAACAGGGACAATTTGACTTCCTCTTCTCCTAATTGAATACCCTTTATTTCCTTCTCCTGCCTAATTGCCCTGGCCAGAACTTCCAACACTATGTTGAATAGGAGTGGTGAGAGAGGGCATCCCTGTCTTGTGCCAGTTTTCAAAGGGAATGCTTCCAGTTTTTGCCCATTCAGTATGATATTGGCTGTGGGTTTGTCATAGATAGCTCTTATTATTTTGAGATATGTCCCATCAATACCTAATTTATTGAGATTTTGTAGCATGAAGGGTTGTTGAATTTTGTCAAAGGCCTTTTCTGCATCTATTGAGATAATCATGTGGTTTTTGTCTTTGGTTTCTGTTTATATGCTGGATTACCTTGATTGATTTGCATATATTGAACCAGCCTTGCATCCCAGGGATGAAGCCCACTTGATCATGGTGGATAAGCTTTTTGATGTGCTGCTGGATTCGGTTTGCCAGTATTTTATTGAGGATTTTTGCATCAATGTTCATCAAGGATATTGGTCTAAAATTCTCTTTTTTGGTAGTGTCTCTGCCCGGCTTTGGTATCAGGATGATGCTGGCATCATAAAATGAGTTAGGGAGGATTCTCTCTTTTTCTATTGATTGGAATAGTTTCAGAAGGAATGGTACCAGTTCCTCCTTTTACCTCTAGTAGAATTCGGCTGTGAATCCATCTGGTCCTGGACTCTTTTTGGTTGGTAAGCTATTGATTATTGCCACAATTTCAGATCCTGTTATTGGTCTATTCAGAGATTCAACTTCTTCGTGGTTTAGTCTTGGGAGGGTGTATGTGTCGAGGAATTTATCCATTTCTTGTAGATTTTCTAGTTTATTTGTGTAGAGGTGTTTGTAGTATTCTCTGATGGTAGTTTGTATTTCTGTGGGATCAGTGGTGATATCCCCTTTATCATTTTTTATTGTGTCTATTTGATCCTTCTCTCTTTTTTTCTTTATTAGTCTTGCTAGCAGTCTATCAATTTTGTTGATCCTTTCAAAAAACCAGCTCCTGGATTCATTAATTTTTTGAAGGGCTTTTTGTGTCTCTATTTCCTTCAGTTCTGCTCTGATTTTAGTTATTTCTTGCCTTCTGCTAGCTTTTGAATGTGTTTGCTCTTGCTTTTCTAGTTCTTTTAATTGTGATGTTAGGGTGTCAATTTTGGATCTTTCCTGCTTTCTCTTGTGGGCATTTAGTGCTATAAATTTCCCTCTACACACTGCTTTGAATGTGTCCCAGAGATTCTGGTATGTTGTGTCTTTGTTCTCATTGGTTTCAAAGAACATCTTTATTTCTGCCTTCATTTCGTTATGTACCCAGTAGTCATTCAGGAGCAGGTTGTTCAGTTTAATGTAGGTGAGCGGTTTTGCGTGAGTTTCTTAATCCTGACTTCTAGTTTGATTGCACTGTGGTCTGAGAGACAGTTTGTTATAATTTCTGTTCTTTTACATTTGCTGAGGAGTGCTTTACTTCCAACTATGTGGTCAATTTTGGAATCGGTGTGGTGCGGTGCTGAAAAAAATGTATATTCTGTTGATTTGGGGTGGAGAGTTCTGTAGATGTCTATTAGGTCCGCTTGGTGCAGAGCTGAGTTCAATTCCTGGATATCCTTGTTAACTTTCTGTCTCATTGATCTGTCTAATGTTGACAGTGGGGTGTTAAAGTCTCCCATTATTATTGTGTGGGAGTCTAAGTCTCTTTGTAGGTCACTCAGGACTTGCTTTATGAATCTGGGTGCTCCTGTATTGGGTGCATATATATTTAGGATAGTTAGCTCTTCTTGTTGAATTGATCCCTTTACCATTATGTAATGGCCTTCTTTGTCTCTTTTGATCTTTGTTGGTTTAAAGTCTGTTTTATCAGAGGCTAGGATTGCAACCCCTGCCTTTTTTTGTTTTCCATTTGCTTGGTAGATCTTCCTCCATCCTTTTATTTTGAGCCTATGTGTGTCTCTGCACGTGAGATGGGTTTCCTGAATACAGCACACTGCTGGGTCTTGACTCTTTATCCAATTTGCCAGTCTGTGTCTTTTAATTGGAGCATTTAGTCCATTTATATTTAAAGTTAATATTGTTATGTGTGAATTTGATCCTGTCATTATGATGTTAGCTGGTTATTTTGCTCGTTAGTTGATGCAGTTTCTTCCTAGTCTTGATGGTCTTTACAATTTGGCGTGATTTTGCAGTGGCTGGTACCGGTTGTTCCTTTCCGTGTTTAGTGCTTCCTTCAGGAGCTCTTTTAGGGCAGGCCTGGTGGTGACAAAATCTCTCAGCATTTGCTTGTCTGTAAAGAATTTTATTTCTCCTCCACTTATGAAGCTTAGTTTGGCTGGATATGAAATTCTGGGTTGAAAATTCTTTTCTTTAAGAATGTTGAATATTGGCCCCCACTCTCTTCTGGCTTGTAGAGTTTCTGCCGAGAGACCCTCTGTTAGTCTGATGGGCTTCCCTTTGTGGGTAACCCGACCTTTCTCTCTGGCTGCCCTTAACATTTTTTCCTTCATTTCAACTTTGGTGAATCTGACAATTATGTGTCTTGGAGTTGCTCTTCTCGAGGAGTATCTTTGTGGCATTCTCTGTATTTCCTGAATTTGAATGTTGGCCTGCCTTGCTAGATTGGGGAAGTTCTCCTGGATAATATCCGGCAGAGTGTTTTCCAACTTGGTTCCATTCTCCCCGTCACTTTCAGGTACACCAATCAGATGTAGATTTGGTCTTTTGACATAGTCCCATATTTCTTGGAGGCTTTGTTCGTTTCTTTATATTCTTTTTTATCTAAACTTCCCTTCTCGCTTCATTTCATTCATTTCATCTTCCATCACTGATACCTCTTCTTCCAGTTGATCGCATCGGCTCCTGAGGCTTCTGCATTCTTCACATAGTTCTCGAGCCTTGGCTTTCAGCTCCATCAGCTCCTTTAAGCACTTCTCTGTATTGGTTATTCTAGTTATACATTCTTCTAAATTTTTTTCAAAGTTTTTAACTTCTTTGCCTTTGGTTTGAATTTCCTCCTGTAGCTCGGAGTACTTTGATCATCTGAAGCCTTCTTCTCTCAACTCGTCAAAGTCATTCTCCATCCAGCTTTGTTCCATTGCTGGTGAGGAGCTGCGTTCCTTTGGAGGAGGAGAGGCGCTCTGTTTTTAGAGTTTCCAGTTTTTCTGCTCTGTTTTTTCCCCATCTTTGTGGTTTTATCTACTTTTGGTCTTTGATGATGGTGATGTACAGATGGGTTTTTGGTGTGGATGTCCTTTCTGTTTTTTAGTTTTCTTTCTAACAGACAGGACCCTCAGCTGCAGGTCTGTTGGAGTTTGCTAGAGGTCCACTCCAGACCCTGTTTGCCTGGGTATCAGCAGCAGTGTCTGCAGAACAGTGGATGTTCGTGATCCGCGAATCCTGCTGTCTGATCGTTCCTCTGGAAGTTTTGTCTCAGAGGAGTACCTGGCAGTGTGAGGTGTCAGTCTGCCCCTACTGGGGGGTGCCTCCCAGTTAGGCTGCTTGGGGGTCAAGGGTCAGGGACCCACTGGAGGAGGCAGTCTGCCCATTCTCAGATCTCCAGCTGCATGCTGGGAGAACCACTGCTCTCTTCAAAGCTGTCAGACAGGGACATTTAAGTCTGCAGTGGTTACTGCTATCTTTTTATTTGTCTGTGCCCTGCCCCCAGAGGTGGAGCCTACAGAGGCAGGCAGGCCTCCTTGAGCTGTGGTGGGCTCCACCCAGTTCGAGCTTCCCAGCTGCTTTGTTTACCTAAGCAAGCCTGGGCAATGGTGGGCGCCCCTCCCCCAGCCGCGCTGCCGCCTTGCAGTTTGATCTCAGACTGCTGTGCTAGTAATCAGCGAGACTCCGTGGGCGTAGGACCCTCCGAGCCAGGTGCGGGATATAATCTCCTGCTGTGCCCTTTTTTAAACCCGTCGGAAAAGTGCAGTATTCGGGTGGGAGTGACCCGATTTTCCAGATGCCGTCTGTCACCCCTTTCTTTGACTAGAAAAGGGAACTCCCTGACTCCTTGCGCTTCCCAAGTGAGGCAATGCCTCAACCTGCTTTGGCTCATGCACGGTGCGCTGCACCCACTGTCCTGCGCCCACTGTCTGGCACTCCCTAGTGAGATGAACCCGGGACCTCAGGTGGAAATGCAGAAATCACCTGTCTTCTGCGTCGCTCACACTGGGAGCTGTAGACTGGAGCTGTTCCTATTCGGCCATCTTCTCATCAAAGTGTTGATAGTCACTATCTGTGTGATGCTTTATAAGAACAAGTAGATGATAGAAAATGTAAAAACCTATTTTATAGCCATTCAGAAGTTTCTTGTAATTGAAATTATGTTTAAAGATTCTAACAGCTATTACTTTCTTTCATTGACAAATGTGATGTTGAAACTTCTTGGGGTAAGGCAAATGATTTTGGAACCCATCCTAACCTTTTAGTATCAAGTATCTGAAAAATTCTTAGAAGGCATAAATGTTTTTACAGCCCTCACCCTGCACATAGCTTGAAATCACTAAAAGAGCATATCAGCTGCAAATGGACAGAAGCAGATTCAACCCTTGATGCTTTGTAAGAACAAGTCGATAATAGACTAAGTGACTAGGGACAAAAGTGCAATTGAAGGCCCTAGGTCTACACCCATTTCCCACCCACCCGTCTTCCCACCCCTGGCTCTGTCCTGTTCCCCCAGGGTCCTCAGCCTCAGAGCCTACATGTGGACTCTTAGCCTGAAAGTCCAAACAACTTCTCCCCACGTCGTCATGCCTATCCCTTGATCACAAATGTATTTGAGTTCCAGGTGCACAATGGGAATGCATCAGTGAAAGATCATTCTATGCCTTAAATGGGGGTGGACTGTGAGCTTTAGGGCAGAGAATTCCAGGGACTTGGTTATGTGAAACTTGGTCTAGAAGCAACCAAAATTCTTATCAGCCTGTCCCTTGGAGAGGGTTGTGATGAGAGAGATGAGAAGAAAGCCGGAGTGGACTCTTTGACACTGTGCTTTTCAAACACTCATGTGCATACAATCACCATTAAAATACAGATGGTGATTCAGAAGGGCTGAGCTTTTGTATTTCTGACAAGCTTTCAGATGAAGCTGCACGTTGATGAAGCTGACTGCACTTGAGTAACAAGACTGTGATACACAGGGCCCAGCAGGGTCCCATGGCCTGGGGACTGGACAGAAGTATTGGCCTGACGTGAAGACAGATAAGTGGGCCTACTTGAGACAGCTTTCTTCAGCAGGAATTCCCAGCCTGGACTTCCCACCTCTCACTCCTCTCTATTGAACACCATGCTCCCTGGTGTTCAACCTGTACTGCTACTTCCTCCATCAGCTCACAGCCCCTTGTCTGTGATGGGCAGAGCAGTCTATGGCTGGGCACTGAACTTGATATCTGGATGGCAGAGCCGCCCTCAGCCGTGCTTAGAGTATCATGGAAGAGCAGCAGGAGCCAAGTGTCCCCATCGTATTTGCAGCTGGACTAGACCTTAGGCACTGCACCAGATGCGCTCAGCTATGGCTGCCTCTGAGGACTAGGGCCCCTGCCCAAGCCCTGCCAGACACTGTAGTCTGAGGGTACTGGCTTCTCTCTTGAACACCAGGGCACTGTGGGACAATATGTAGGAAGCCTTATAGTTAGGTTCGAAATGGCACATTCAATGGAGATAGTAAATGCAATAGTCCTCTAGTGATATTGTAGTACATTATATGATCACAGATTAAAAACCAATATTCACCTTTTCAGATGGCCCAAATGAAAACGATGCATTTTAAAGAAGCCATGCTTAAATTATCAAAGGAACATGTGGACTAAAAGAAAAGAAAATCCAAATCAGGAACAAAAAATGAAACAAAATAATAGATGTTACTTTTAAATAAAAGAAACATTTGAGAAACAAATACCTATGTGATGTCATACACAAAACAAACACAACGCAGAAAAGCTAGGATAGGTTAAGGTATCAAAATGTATTATAGAATAGTGTTTATATCAAAAACAAAAATAGTATCAAAATATGGACATCAAAAATAAACTAAATCTAATGGAATGACTACAAAAAAATGTAACAAAAGAACGGCCATAGAGAACCAGGAGTAATCAGGTGAAATAATAGAGGTGGTTACTTTCATAAAAAATACAGCTTCAAAGTTTGTAGGTGGTACTTTTTAACTAAAAGAGAGTTTTTAACATAGTTCCATAACATGGAGAAATTAAGTTACATTCAAGAGAAATGAGAGAGTTCTTGGGCTTACAGTGAAAAAGTTTTGGAAACAGACTTGAAAATTAAAGCATAACATTTGTACTAAACAACATGCACAATACATGCCAAGTGTAAAGAGAAATAAATTCAAAGCACATAGAAGAATGCCTTGAAAAAAAGAACTTACAATTTGATCAAAAGAAAAAGCAATGCATGTGCAATACTCACAATCTAGAGTCTCACAGAAAAAATAAAATTCAATTTACACAGTTTCTTAGTATTCTGAGACTGCAAACCCTATCCAATTTTGACATGTCCTTTCAGCAGAATAGCTATTCAATTCCTGTTATATGTTCTCGAGACAGACCATTTAGCTGATCTGTTCTGATGCTTTAATACACAGCCTATGTGTATGAAAGAAGAGCTTGCAATCCAGTTTTAATGACAAGCTATACACGTATTTTTTAAAATGCTATGGCTGTTAAGTATGATGCTGGATATAAGTTATGTAACCAAGTTGTCATGGTCTATATTGTTAGCACGTTTGGATGCTTTTCACAGTAATAGGCACATATACGCACTGTTGGAAAATGTTCATGAAAGTGACATGTTAATTGACATGCTAAGGTAGAATAAAAGGTAATATGTGGCTTCAGGGACATAGAGATACCCTTCTATAAGAAGGTTATATAATATGAGACTTGAGAAAGGGCAGGATTTATATAGGCAGAAAGAGGGCACTGCAAGGGATCATGGGTAGGAATTTGAATGCAAGTGATAGCTTCAGAGTTGTGACGTGTGTGGATGTGGGTGTGTGGGTTATGAGGATGAGGAAAGGCAGACAAGGCCAGAATGAGAATGACTTTGTATAACTTAAGGAACTTTGATTTTACCCTAAAAGTAGCAGAATAACACTGAAAAAGCTTGAGTAGAAGAATAACATTAAGGAAAATTAACTGGGCAACAATATGTGGAAATTGACTGAAGGTGGGGAAATGCATAGATAGGTCGCTTTTCTGGGGTAAGAAGAGATGAAGGACTAAACAAGGAAAACTACGAATGGGAGTGAGGAAAGGATAGACTCAGAAGACACCACAAAGAAATGTGGATCTTATCCCTTTGTACATCAGTTTTATATTTGCCCTTTCCTGTGTCTTCACACTTTTTAATTCTTTTGATTATTTGTCTTTCATATTTAAATGTTTGATTTATAAAGAAAACACAAACACCTCCTCTTAGGCTCTCCATTGATTTCAGTCTCACCTACCTTCTCTTCCTCTCACCATCCGTGACCCCATTTATCCAATTCAATTCCTTCATCTTCTCTTCACCTCCTCAACCCACTGCAGTTTCACCACATCACTCCAACTGTGGTTGCCAGAATGAGTAAAGACCTTCTAGTTGATAAGCCCTCAAGAATCTTTGGTCTTTAACTTTCTTACTCCTCTGTAAATTTTGTTACTATTGACCTTTTGAAATTCTCTATTTTCGTGGATTCGAAGGAACCTCTCTTTTCTTGAATCTCCTCTTTCATCTCATCAGCCTCTTTCTCTTTTTTCCTCTCTCTTCTTCTTTTCTTCTTTTTCTTGTTTTGCTTTTCTTCTTTTATCTACTGCAAAGTGATGATTTCCTTCCTTGCCCACCTCCCAAAGTTTGGTTCAGAATTTTTTTCCTTTTTACTTAACTTGACCTTCAGTCCAATGACTCAAATCTGTGCCTCCGCTTAGACATTTTCCCCTAGTCCACATCTATATCTCCAGCTGGACAGCTCCACATGGGTTTTCATCCTATACTTCCAAAACCAGAATAGCAAAACTGAGGTCCTCTGCTTCTCCCCACTTTTCCATATCTCTACCCTAGTCTCCTGTATGTCATACAGGTGCAATTCAAAAATGAGAAACATCCCTTTATCATTCTGAAATGAAAATGTAATCATAATTCAAATTAAGCCACTTCCTAGCTGGCTCAAAATTGCTTGGCTTCTATGTCTCTCAGTTTTCTTATCTACAAAATGGAAAAAAAATAATAGCACCTACCTCACAGTAGTATTGTGGAAATAGTAACTGGCACAATGTAAGCCCTAAGTAAATATTATCTATTTCACTGTTTGAAATAATCAGAGTCCCCATTGACTTAAAAAGAGAAAATGAAACTAGTTTCCTCAGTATGTTATTTAATTTTTGCTTAATTCTCAAGTTGCATTTCTCATTATTTCCTAACTTCTACTCTACCCTCTACCCTGAAAGAAAGATTCTCTAGGGGGCCGCTCTGCCCTATCCACCCCCAAGCTCATGAGTGTCTCTTCCTGTTGTTAATCATGACTTACCTTTAATAGTTTTCACTGATGCTTCAGAGTGTGTGTGGGATGTCTCTTCTTGCTCCCTTTTCCCCAAGTCTAAGTTTATTTTTCTCTCTGTGCTCCTGGAGAGCCACTGACTTGAGGTTTTTCACCCTACATTGCCATTGTGCACACATCTTTATCTGCCTCTCAGATAAAGGCAGCTCCTTCATGGTAGAGGATGCACTGTTGATCTGTAGGTGGTTTTGAGAGGAAGTATAACAAGAGAGTGTGGACAACACAAGAGAATAAGCAGTTGGATGCACTAATTGTTCATCTAGAAATGGCTGTCAGTGGAGGTGAGCCAGCCCCACCCCTCTATGTGTGTCTGGGTAGTGGATGAGGGGGAATTCTGGAGAGGAGCGAGCAAAAGGGAATATGGTGATTTCAAGGATAAGCTAAGCTTTGTTTCAAACAATGATGTGGGGAAGGAATGGAAGCCAATTGATAGATTGTTCACAGTGGATGAGCATGGAAAGAACTGAGGCAGTGGAAGGGACTGTCACAGGGTCACCAGTAAGTCAGAAGAGCTCATGCTGACTTGATGATAAATTTTTATATGTATAAAATCTTCTGGAAGCAGATTCAAACAGATTGAGATGTTCGGTCTCAAGAATGAAGAATGGACATGACTGACACATGAATCAGTGATGTGTAGGAATTATAGATCGTAACATTAGTAGCATTGACATATATCCATAGTCTTATTGAGTCACAGTATTTTTGGGTTATGGTATACATACACACCCATCTATATGTGTGTATATACAGTGTCACATATAATAGTGTATTATATATACACATTGTATATATTTTGATTATAAGAGTAATACAGTGTTTATTATAGAAATGTTTGCAGCCATAGGTGCTATTGTCTGAATGTTTCTGTTCCCCTAAATTCATATGTTAAAATCCTAATCCCCAAGGTGGTAGTGTGAGAAGATAGGGCCTTTGGGAGGTTACAAGGGATTAGTGTCCCCATTAAAGAGGCCCAAGAGAGCTTATTTGCCCGTTTCATCATGTGAGTACTCAGTGAAAGGCACCATCTATGAAGCAGAAAGCGAGTCCTCACCAGACACCAAATATGCTTGTGCCTTGATCGTGGACTTCCCAGTCTCCAGAATCATGAGCGATACATTTCTGTTGTTTATAAGCTATTTAGTTTATGGTATTTTAACTACCCAGATGGACCTAAGGCAATAGAAAAGACGTAAGTCTGATTTGAAATGAGCTAAAAAGCAGAATTGGAATTCAGGAATTCGAGGCAGTTGATACAGATGACCTCATAAGTAAGCTCAGTTTTAAAAGGGAGCAGAAACATTGTATGATAGTGGCTGTGGAACAATGGAAGAGGCAGGACCTGGGACCATGTGAGGGCTTTTGTAAGCTAGGAGATATCAAAGCCTGTTTGTGAGATGGTGGAGGTAACCCAGGAAGGAAGGATAAACTGAGGATGGGTGAGAAAGAGGACTACTGCAGGAGTAGAGATCTTGAGTGCGAGAGAAGGATAGTGGGGTGGGTTTTCCCTGGGTAGGTGCAGGGACAGAGGCAGAGTTCATGGGCACAGATGCTGGTGGGTGAAGAGATAAGGATAATCAGAAAAGGAGGCAGTCCTCAGATTATTATTTCCTTTTCCTAACTACAAGGTACTAGGCAGCAGGGCACTGTGTTCCATCCAATTAAAATAAGTTAAATATTTAAAGCCATCCTTTGGATCCTTTGGATTTAGAAGGATGGTTCTAAAGAAAGAAGCCATGTGCACAGTTACTGAGCTCAGGGTCTTTGATCTCAGACAGCCCTCGGTGTCCTGGTCCTGCTACCTTCCTTCCAGCTGTGGGACTCTCATCAGGTGAACTGGGAGGTGTCCTGTGCAAGAGCCCAGGCTCTGGAGTTGGCTCTCAGCTCTGTCAGTAACTGATGTGTAAGTTTGGGTTAAGCACTAAGCCCTTCCTGCCTCCACACTTCTTCTGTAACATGGAGATGATTAAATGATTCTTCTTATAGGCAGGGTGAACAATGAATGACGATACTGTAAATTTCATAGTATAATACCTGCTACATATATGTCATGGCCTGCCAAGGTTAGCAGTTAGTATTTCACTGCTCTAAGCCTTAGTTTCTCTCTGCAAAATGGAGACAGTGATACACTTTGTTAGACATGATTATTGTGAGAATAAAAATAAATTGCATGTCAAGCTCCTAACACACAGTAAACAGAGTAAAGGGGAAAAAAGAAGTGTGAGTGAGCATGAGGAATGGCTTCACTCTGCAGCCACAGAAATTGGTAACTTTCTAAGGAAGATTGGGAGAGAGAAAGTGATGTGTGATTTGGAGACAAAGTCTTAAACTTAATTTGTAAGACAAGGAAGCCAATTAAAGCCCAACAATGTGGCCCAGGACAAGCATTTCATTTGAGATGATAAATTTAATAAAAATGGATTCATTTTCACTTCACTAAAAGTGAGGGAAGATTTTGTGTGTGCATGGGAACATACAAGAGCAAATATCTGCAGAGGCTAACTAAACGTAATGAGATTTTGTATTGAGAAGCAACATTAATTACTGGATTATATCATAGCATCTGAATTAGTGCACAAAGGTTAAAACTAAGTAAGCTAAATGTATTCAATTATATAAAATACGGTGTTTTGTAGTATCACACATTAATATATGTAAATATGTGTAAATTTATGCATAAAATATGTGCACATTAATATATGTAAATATATGTAAATTTGTAAGTATACATATATGCATAATATCATGTGTTTTGATTTCTGAATGGAATCATAAGGCTCATGACAGCAAACCTAGCTCAGTGCCTGGAACATAGTAGATGTTGAACAATAATGGATGAATGAATGAATCAAACCCATATTTGCAGCTTGTGTAACTTACGTTGGAGATCCCTATCTTAGAAAAAAATAGCTAACATATTCTATTAGTTTCTTTATAAACAAATTTAATACAAATTGATGCTTAATGATGGGAAGCTAGATATAATTAGAGAATATCTTATATGAGCTGATGTGTCAAATCAAAGAATTAAGGCAAGGCATTGTGAAAGGCAAGTAATGTAGGTGGAGATAGGATTGTGTCTTAGAATAAAGGAGGGTTTCTTCTAAGACACGTCTTTAAATATTACCCAAAACAATGTTGTTTCTGCTTCAAAATGTTTGTGCTTCTTGTTAGAGAACAAGGAAGGCATGATTTAAAGCTGGAGGCAATAAAGCCTCGCACAGAGAATGCTGGTGGGGTGTTCAGAGAAGATGGAATAGTAGACTTGGCTAAGACAGTGTGCAGGTTCCTCTGTCCTCACTTCTTCCCCTTCCCCAGGCCAGCCCCTAGAGTTGAACTCCAGTGAGTTGCATGCCTACCTCCAGCACTTTCTGAGGGGAGTGTAGAGAAGTTGGTACTCAAAGTGTGGTCTAAGGATCAGCAGCAGCAGCATCACCTAGAAGCTTGTTGGAAATGCAGAATCTTAGACCCTACCCTTGTAGTAAGGGTTAAAAAGAAAAAGAGACAAGTTTTCCTCTGCTTAGCAGCTCACTTCAAGGACAGTTAAAAGATAATGCTGTCCAAAAAGCCAAGGCCAAGGGAATGGGCTCCAGACAGCACCCCCCCACACCCCTGCAAAGCAAGGTTGAGGGGAAAAAAAAGAGAGAAAGACAAATTCCTTCACTGATACTCCTTTCCCTGGCCTCTTAAGTATGGCTGTGTTTTACAAATGTCTGTATTTCGCCAGTTTTTGTTTTTTTTTTTTTTTTTGATGCAGCTACAAGGCCACCAGCTATGCAAGGCCACAAGTTATGCACTATATGATTAACTGCCTTTGTTTTGCTTTTGTAAGCCTGCTTATAGAAGCCCCACTCTGTCTTTGTTCAAGGCTCAGCTTTTTGAATGTGAATCCACTGAGCCGGTGTATACCTTAAAATAAATATCCTCCTGTATTCACCCATACTGAGCTCTCTGGTCCTCTGTGTCCTGCAACTCCCTAGCCCTACTGAGTCTGAATCTGCAACTAATAAGTTCTTTCAGTGACTCATGGGCACATTAAAATTTGAGAAGCACTGTCATTGAGGTTAGAAATGTGGGCCTTAAAGCACATAGATCTTGGTTCAAATCCCCATTCCACCTTGAGCAAGCTAATTTTCTAATCTTGTTTCCTCACCTGTGTGATATAATCATAGGTACCTCATAAATACTACTATGAGAGATAAATAAGATAGTTACATATAAAGTGTTTATGTAGTGCCTACCTGTTAGTAACTGTTCAATAATTTTACCTGTTTTTTACTATTTTTTTCTCTGCTGAGCAAGAGCAGAAGAAAGTAGTGAGGAAGAAGCGTTGTTGGTGTGATCTTCCTTTTTTCTCTATTTTCTCAACCATATGCTCACTATGACAGGAAAAAAAAAAGATTTAACTGCAGGCACGGACTTGCAAATAGGTGTAATAATCTTTCTGAGTTTCCTCCACTGCTAAATGTTACTTCTACTTATATTACTATGGATAAGTCCCTTAACCTCTTTGAGCCTTATTTTCTTCCTTCATAGTGTGGGGTTGCAACATCAGCCTATCTCATAAAGTCGTGAAAACCAAACAAAGTGGTCCATAAGACAGTATTATGTTCATTGTTAAGAACTATTTTGTAGAAGTTAAGATGGCAGATCTCACAAGTAGAATCATCTCAATATAAGAGACTGATAACATGAAGTGTTGATATATATCATTTATAATAATATATGGTCTAAATGACTGATAGGGCCATCCCCTGGCCCTTGGACAGTGTTAATGAAAAACCAGAGCCAGACCATAGTTAATGTGGAAAAATCAGGTTTTATTGAGGAACTATTACAATAGGGAGAAAGAGACCTCAGTATAGAACTGGGATCAATTCCAAACACAACATGGACAAGTGGGGATGTATAGCCAAGGAGCCGCCTGGAGTCAGTAGATGGAAAATTCCTAAGAGGAGGCATCACGAGTAAGGGGGATTCCTAGGAAACAGATCTTCTTTCGGGATTCTAGCTGCAGGCAGTCCAGGGTGAGCAGATGTCATCTGGGAGATGATGAGGAGTGAGGAGTTTGATCAGACACAGAAGGGGATAAGATACTGAGGGTTGGGAATTCTGAATAAACCGACTTAGCAGGAATCTTTTTACAACCGAGTGATGCAGAGACGGAAACGGAAGTACCAAGGTAGGGGCCTGGTGGGAAGTAGCTTCAGAAGGGCCTGACTGAAGTTTGGTCAAGGATGGAATCTTTGTCAAAGAGCCAAGCTGGTTGCAGATGGGAAGGAGGGGAAGGTGGTCGTCTCTTCAGATACAGAAGCCTGTGCATGTAGATACCAGAAAGTCTGTTTTTCAAAAACGGTCTGAACTTACAAGGGCTCGTTTAGCATTCTGCCGTTTACCTTATCCAGTAGCAGAAAATAAGACACATCCACTTAAAGAGCAAGATAAAAATCAGACAAGTAGGCATAGAGGAGAATTTCTATGGAGGATCAGAGAAAGGAGTGATTGCCTCTGGTCATGTGTCCGCAGGGCTTCAGAGTCAAGACTTTTATGGTTGGCCCTGGGGGATAAACAGAATCTTGGGAGAGAGTTGCAATCTTTTTGGAGGAAATAGCAAGAGAGGAGAAAAACAAAACAAACAAACAAACAGAAAAGAACAGAGGCAGCAAAGCTTGAAGCACATGAAGAAAGGGTAAAGAAGCTTCTTTTTTAATTTTTTAAAATTTTTACAATGCAAAGTCTTGCTCTGTTGCCTAGGCTGGAGTGCAGTGGCACGATCACAGCTCTCTGCAGCCTCAACTTCCCAGGCTCGAACAGTCCTCCCATGTCAGCCTCTTGAGTAGCTGGGACCACAGATGTGAGCCACCACGCCTGGCTAATTTTTGGAAAGAATACCTTTTGGAGAGATGGGGGTCTCACTACGTTACTCAGGATGGTCTCAAATTCCTGGGTTTAAGCAATCCTCTTGCTTAGGCCTCGTAAATCCTGGGATTACAGGTGCGAGCCACTGTACCCAGCCAAGAAGCTTCTTTGGAAACTCAGTTGCACAGGATTGGAGGGAAGAATAGGTTATAAAGATAAGGAGGGATTCAATTTTGAGGGACCTTGACGGTTCAATTCTTACTTTTCCTATGATGAATAGTCACATACTGTTTTGTTTTGCTTTTGAGACGGAGTCTCACTCTGTCACCCAGGCTAGAGTGCAGCAGTGCGATCTCAGCTCACTGCAAACTTCGCCTCCTGGGTTCAAGTGATTCTTCTGCCTCAGCCTCCCGAGTAGCTGGGACTACAGGCACACACCACCCATCCTGGCTAATTTTTGTATTTTTAGTGGAGACGGGGTTTTACCATGTGGGCCGGGAAAGTCTCGAAATCCTGACCTCAGGTAATCCGCCCTCCTTGGCCTCCCAAAGTGCTGGGATTACAGGCATGAGCCACCACGTCCAGCCCACATACTGTTTCTGAATTGGGAATGGACATTATCAGGGCTGTAATATTGGAACATATATCTGGCGTCCATGAATGAGTTGGAACAAAGTGAGAATAAGTGGAGAGACTAAATCAGAGGAGATATTTCAGTGGCTTAGGAAAAATAATAAGACCCCAAGCTGGATTTGCAATACTGGAAATGTAAAGGAAAGGACAACAATTTGGGACAAGTCCCTTTCTAATAGATTCACACTGACTTTTTCATGTCAACAATAAGCCACAATATTATAAGAAAATAAAAATAATTCATCTGCTACTGGACGTTGTTCTTACCAAGTTCCATCTTTAGATATGTTTTTTATTAAAGTGGTGAGAAGTACAAATATACTAGTTACTTGTTCTATTTTTATGTTCTCGTGCAGCGAAAGAGGAAAAGGAAGAGTTCTATTCATGTGTCATACTCTGAGACTTGTGGTAGTTTGCTAATTATAAGTTCTATTGTCTTGGTCTTAAAAGGAATTCAAATGCTGAACCAAGTATAGTAAGGTCTCCCAGACCCCAGTGATTACACAGCTGCAAAATTTGTAGCTGAAATGTCATCCTGTCTTAGTATTTTTGCAGGCCAAAAGGCCAAGCAAAGTCAAGTCAAACTGTTTCTCATTTCTTACAGAAATTTGCAAGACCCAACAATAGAACTCAAGGCTGCATCAAAAACTTTAGTCTCTTCTTTGACCTCCTGGACTGTTGGCAGAGTCAGATTTTTGCATCTGTCGAATGGGAGATAATCTTACTTTCATCTATCCCTGCCTTTCTAACACAATCTATTTGAGGTCCCTAGTTTCAAGATATTTTCATAGAGCCCCAAATTAAACATATTTTGGATAACCTTATGCACATGGCTCTGGGCCAGCTCTTTCTCTTAGTATAATTTTTTAAGCCAAGGATTGGGTGCTTTCATCTCACTTTCCCTAAGACCTTACTGTCCATCTGACTTTTCATCTCTAAAGTTAGTTCATTATCCTGGACAATCAGTATAATATCAGTGTAATCTTGAAACACCTCCCCTGTATGGGCAGTCTTTCTAAAGGCTTCCAAAGTAATGTAAAATAAGCAATTGCTTTGACATCCATTGCCCTTTTTGTAAAAATAAATATTAAGAAAATGCAAAGAAAAAGAACAGACATAAAAATGTTGGTGTTGGCAATAGCAAAGATGTGGAACTAATCCAGATTTCCATCAATGATGGATTAGATAAATAAAACGTGGTACTTTTATACACCATGGAATACAATGCAGCCACAAAAAAGGACAAAATCATGTCCTTTGTGGCAACATAGATGTTGCTATTATCCTAAGTGAATTAATGCAGAAATAGAAACTGAGTTACTGTATGTTCTCACTTATAAGTGGGAGGTAACATTGGGTACAAATGGGCACAAAGAAGGAAAGGATAAACACTGGAGATCCCCAAATGGGAGAGGGAAGGAAGGGGGGGAAAGGGTTGAAAAATTACCTCTGGGGTACCATGTTCATTATTTGGTTAACAGGATCATTAGACACCTAAACCTCGACATCACACAAGATACTCGTGTAATAAACTTGTACGTGTACCCCCCACCAAATCTAAAATTGTTTAATAAAATATTTTTTTTTAAAAAAAGGGTTAGGTATGATAGCTCATGCCTGCAATCCCAACACTTTGGGAGGCTGAAGGGGAAAATCACTTGAGCTCAGGAGTTTGAGAGCAGCCTGGGCAACATGGCAAGACATCATCTCTGCTAAAAAAAAAAGAAAAAAGAAAAAAGAAAAAAAAAGTAGCTGGTGTGGTGATATGCATCTATAATCCCAGCTACTTGGAAGGCTAAGGTGGGAGGATCACTTGAGCCCAGAAAGTGGACACTGCAGTGAGTCATGATCACACCACTGCACTGCAACCTGTGCAACAGAGCGAGACCCTATCTTAAAAAATAAAATAAAATACAATAAAAAATAAAATTTTGGTATTGAGGTTATAGGTGAGTTAAATGATTTTTTAATGTTTTTACATTCTTGGTAATGAAAATATTACTTATACGAGTTAACAAATATATTATTATAAAACATGATTTTCCAACCAGTGTAATCATACTTTGTTTTTATAGTTTCTTTGTTTTATTTCCAAAAGATATATTCCTTGAAATATGTTGGTGATTGTGCATATAAAAGAGTTCTTTTCTTCTATACCAATGGTTCTCAAAAATTTGGACTTCAAAATAGTTTAGAAAACTGACATAGAAGTATGAACCTTTGGCTTTGAAAATAAGGGTCATTAAAAAGAGCAACTAATCTTTGCTGTCAACATTTTTAAGAAAAAGAAAGGATGTTATAATGCTATACTGGTACAAGGAACTAGTCTTAGAATTTAAATAGGGTTCTTCACAAGAAAAGCCAACAGGTACATTTGCACACACATGTATATTTGTATATGTGCATACCATTTCAAATCCAGTAACATTTTATATGCTAACATTACATTGTACAAAATTATTTTGGAGACTCCTGTTTTGCAGTGGAATGTGAAGAGGAGCTGGAATACCCAAAATGTCCTAATGCTCTCTCTACATTACTGCCATTGTAAAATTGTCCAGTTTTAAGTAACCTTGTTGAGGAAAATGAAAACAATATTCTTAATACTATTTCACTCAGTTTGGAATGTTCCAGGTAATTTACCTGAAACTGAGAGAGACCAAAGAACAAAAACTGAGAGAGGCCAAAGAACAACTAAGTACTCTGCCAAAATTTTTCCCCTGCAGAGCCTGGCATTATGAAGTTGAGCTAACAAAGAAGGTTCAGCAGTTATGCGCTTTGATGACTCAACACAGAAAAGTCAGCAACTAATATGAACTCTTCCACAAGGTTGCTACAAGAACAGGCATTTGCAAAGCTTTCTTTTTTAATTGCCTTTTTATATTCTGACATTTTTCCCTCCATCGGAAATATCTTAGGCATTAAATCTCATGGCAAAACCACTTGAATACACATTTTGATCCTGTGATTTGAAGTATGGAGAGGAAAATCTTTGAACCTGAGAAAAATGTTCACATTTATAGGTGCCCTTTATGACTTAGCAAAATTACATTAATAACATCATCTGTTTCCAATGCCCTCACTTACTTTGTGGGCTTCATTTATCTCTTATGTAATTAGTATAACTACATCATTCTTCACGATTGTTTGGAGAGACATTACAATTGCAAGTTTTAATTTGTTTTACTCTGACAGCTACATTGTTGTAGGATTTCTGAAAAAAAAAGTGAGAACAATGGAATATACTTTTGGGGGACTATTTTTAAGTGGTCCAGTCTGTGCCTTTCTTGTTAATTTTAATTTGAAATTTCATAATTTGCTCTTTTAATGGTTCTATCTCTCAAAGAAAGAAAAGTTCCTGAGACTGAGAGTTAAGTATCTAATAAATATGAGACTGGCTATTGAGATCTAGTCTTTTAATCTGAGTGACTGATTGACTCTTTGGGCTTCAAACAATAAAGCGAGTTTACTATCATAAAACAAATCTGTAGCTTTAAAATGGGCTTCCTCTGTTTGACTGACAATACAATTCTGATGTGTACCAAATTTAAAAATAGTTGTATTTCTCATAATAACTAGTAGGTTGAATAGTGGGTTTGTGATGGAAAATATCCTGAGGCTTCTTTGGACTCAACTAGAAAGAATGTCAAGATTGATTTGTGATACCTGCAAGAGGCCGAAGAGCCAAGATTTGCAACATGAGGCCAGGGAGTTGCCATGCCTAATGCAAGATAACATTTTTCAATTGCATGCTGTAACTTAGCAGTTGGTTATATTGTTCTCATTGTGCTTTCTGTAAGTGCAGACTTTACATCTTGATTATATGGTTGCCCAGAACATCTGGTATATTGGGACCCAATCAATAATAACTGACTGATTGATTAAGGACTATGCACATTATCAAAGATTTTTAGCACCTAAAAGCTGAAGAGTCATGAAAAGCAACTATATACCTTCAAGAACATCCTCTCATAGCTTCTTCAAGATAATTTTATTGACTTTTTTTTTTTTTGAGACAGAGTCTCACTTTGTTACTCAGGCTGGAGTGCAGTGGTGCGATCTTGGCTCACTGCAACCTCCACCTCCCGGGTTCAAGCGATTCTCCCACCTCAGCCTCCTGAGTAGCTGGAACTACAGGTGTGTGCCACCACACCTGGCTATTTTTTGTATTTTTAGTAGAGACGGGTGTCACCGTGTTAGCCAGGCTGGTCTCGAACTCTTGACCTCAAGTGATCCATCCACCTTGGCCTCCCAAAGTGCTGGGATTATAGGTGCGAGCCACTTGCCTGGCCCTGGTTTGATTTTTAATAAATCCATTCCATGTTCACATTGTGAAAACAGTTTAACTTCTTCATTCTCAGTGGTTGTTTTTCCTTTTGCTCAAGGTTAACAGGTATGAGTTCCAACAACTTCTGCTTTATGTTCTCTTTCTATACGTGTTCTCTGCTCCCTGTGTCTCTGGGGAGAAAGAAATTTTTCTCTTCCTCTCTAAGTTAGCCACTTCTCTGCTGTTATCTTCTTTTGGTTGGGATCTTGCCATCTCACTTGTTCCCAAGATTCCCAGTAACAGCAGTGTCTCCCTCTTGTCTGGAGGAAGGACTGGCAGATCCCTATGGATTTATATGGGTAAACTCCACTTCCCTTCACTCTGTGTCTCTCCTCCAGCCACTGTCCCATTCCTCCCCTTCACAGATGCATCCCTAGTCTCTAGGCCCCCTTCTCTCAAGAGAACTTTCCATGATGAAGGAAATATTCTCTGTCTGTACTAGTAAAAGCACAAGTCTGTCCAAGTAGCCACCAAGTATTTGAGGTTATTGAGCACTTGAAATGCGACTAGTGGCACTTGAAGAAGAGAAATTTTAATTCTTTGTCTTTAATTTAAATTGGAAATAGTCACACTTGGCAAGTGCCTACCATAATGGACAATAAACATTCCCCTTCAGATTTCTTCAACTGAACCACAGAAAGTTATTTAAGTGTATCTCCCCAACTCTCCAAAGGATAGTGCATAACTGGTACCATTCCAACATGTATAGAGGAGAAGTTAGCTCATTACCTACAGTGGATACCTGAGGGCATTAGGACTTTATTCTCTTTATTTCAGTAATGGAGTTTGTCCTCTCATACTCATTGAAAGAGGAAGTCCAAATATCTATCATTTGCAAAGACCATCAGTGATCTTTGTAAGTTTCTCTTTCTTAATTTCTAACTGTCTTATTCTTCTTTACTTATTAGAGACAGGGTCTCACTCTGTTGTCCAGGCTGGAGTGCAGTGGTATCGTTATAGCTCACTGCAGCGTCCAAATCCTGGGCTCAAATGATCCTCCTGCATCAGCCTCCCAAGTAGCTGGTGCTACAGGCACATGCCATCATGCTTGCACTGGCTAATGGTTTTTGTTTTGTTTTGTATTGTTTTTTGTAGAGATGGGGTTCTCACTAATTTGACCAGGTTGGTCTCCAACTCCTGGCCTCAAGTGATCCTTCTACCTCGGCCTCCCAAAGTACTGGGATTACAGGCATTAGCCATTACACCTGGCCCTAACTCTCTTTTTTAATCAAATTGATTACTGTCCTCCAAATGTTACTTTTACTTTTCTACTTTTCAGCCTTGTATTATACGATCTCCTCAGCTTCTTACAACTTTCTTCTTCCCTACACTTACCAAATCACTTACATTTCTTCAAGGCTCATTGTCTAGCTCTTCTGACAAGCTTCCACAGACCGTATAAGTCTAAGAAAATTGCAGTCCTTAGTCTATATATATTAAAAAAAATCTTATTGAACACTTACTATATTCCAGACAAGTATGAAAGATGGATAGAGTGGTTAATAGTAATGATAATAATAGATTAACATGGCCAGGCACAGTGGCTCATGCGTGTAATCCCTGTACTTTGGGAGGCTGAGACAGGGGGATCACTTGAGGCCAGGAGTTGGAGACCAGCCTGGCCAACATGGCAAAACCCAGTCTCTACTAAAAATACAAAACAATTACCCAGTGTGATGGCGCATGCTTGTAATTCCACCTATTCTGAAGGCTGAGGTACAATTGCTTGAACCTGGGAGGTGGAGGTTGCAGTGAGTCAAGATCGTGCCACCACACTCCAGCCTGGGTGACAGAGAGAGACTCTGTCTCCAAAATAATAATAATAGATTAATATTTGTTGAAGACTTCTTATATGTCACATACTCTTCCAAGCTCTATGTGTGCATTATTTCATTTACTTCTCATGATTACCCAGTGAGATAGATATTACTGTTATATCACTTTTACAAACAGGGAAACTGAGGCATTTAAAAATAATAACATGCCCAGGTCTCCTGATCAGTAAGTGACAGAAAGGTACTGCTTGTACACAGTTATATCCCAGCACCTACCAAGTCTTCTTAATGCTCAACAGAACTAAAGAACTCCTATTTTTAAATGTCTTCTACTTTTATTTTGATGTTAACATTTGTATTGTGATTACCCTTTTGTTACTAAATGTCACATACATAGGCTGCTCCTCTCAATAACATTATAAACTTCTAAGGTAGAGACCAAGCTGTCTGCTCCTTTGTAGTCTTAGCAAGCACTTAACAACATATTTTAGGTAGTATCTTTCAAATTATGGATATGGCTGATTAATGAGTTTTAGGTTCTAAAGTCAGTTTACTGTGTTCACATCCAGTTTTTTAATGAAATAGAATGAAATAATAAACAGTGGCACACCTATGCAATGGAATATTTAGCAATAAAAAGAATGAGCTGTCATGTTGTGTAAAGACATGGAGGACCCTTAAATGGATATTACTAAGTAAAAGGAGCCAGGCTTAAAAGGTTATGTACTGGACAATTCTGACAATATGATATTCTGGAAAAGGCAAAACTGTGGGGACAGTAAAATGATGACTGGTTGCCAAGAGTTAGCGTAGAGGGAGGGATGAACAGGTTGGAGCATGCGGTATTTTTAAGGCGGTGAAACTATTTTGTATAATACTATAATGGTGGATACATCATTATAGATTTGTCAAAATCCACAGAATGTACAACACGGAGAGTGAACCCTAATTTAAACTATAGATTTTAGCTGGTAGTAATATATCAATATTGGTTCACTTGTTATAACAAATATGCTACATTAATGCAAGGTATTAATAACAAAGGAAACTGTGTGTGAGAAGGGGGAAAGGAAAGATAGTTTATAGGAACTCTCTGTAGTTTCTGTTCTACTTTTCTGCAAACCTAAAACTACCATAAATAATAAATAAATAATAAAGCCTATTAATTAAAAAAAACAGAATAGAATAGAATGTATCTAAGCACATCATGCATTGTGAGGATAAAAACTGTTTAAGGAAATATCTGTTTCAGTTTTAGATGTGTGTGTGTGTGTGTGTGTGTGTGTGTGTGTGTGTGTATCTTACTGTGGATAAGAGGTTAAAAAAAAGTTTGAAAGCTGTCGTTTTAGAGATTGTTGCAAATACACTTCTTATTTCTCAGCTGATTGAAAACACTGCATAGAGTTCTAGTAATGATTGTAAACCTGCCTCCCATAAGCAGGAAGAGTCCTAGTAGGTATGAAGTGTGATTGACATGTCTGATTTTGAAATGACTGTACATGATTGTAGTAGGAGACTTTATGAAAACCTTTAACCTTGGGAAATAAAATTAACCCAAACGATGTGGATGACAACATGCATTTTGTCAAGGCATTCATTTATCGGTATTTCTGATTTGGTATGGTAGCACCCTATTCAAATTTTGATAAAATATTGGGAGAAACTTAATTTTTCTGTTGAGAACAGCACAATTGAATTATAGCCGCAAAGCAATATCAAGCCTAATATGTAGGAAATTCTTAAAATAACCTGGCCCACCATTGTCCCCCAGCCTTACTCAGGACAGGTATCCAGAGAGTACAAGTATCTAGTAACTTGACAGACCCAAGTTAATAGTTTTCTGCAATGGATATTAATAAATATAGGAGTGTTTATTTGGTGATATTGTTTTTGTTTGTTTTTCGCTCCTCCTCCTCCTCCTCTACTTCTTCCTTCTCCTTTGTCCTCTTCTTCTTTCTTCCCTCCTCCTCCACTTCCTCTTCCTCCTCCTCTTCTTCTTCCTCTTCCTTCTCCTTCTCCTTTCTCCTCTTTCTCCTCTTCCTCCTCCTCTTCTTCTTCTTCTTCTTCTTCTTCTTCTTCTTCTTCTCCTCTTCTTCTTCCTTCTCCTTTCTCCTCTTCCTTCTCCTCTCTTCCTTCCTTCCTTGTCCTTCTCCTTCTTCTTTCTCTTCCTCTTCTTCTTTTCTTCTTCTTTTTCTTCTGTTTTTTAAATCTCTCACATGTATTGCTGTGTTTGGGAAGCAGAAGGTCTCAGTCAGTCGGGGCTGTCCCGGTGCCGGGCAGCTCTGATGTTAGGGCTGAGGAGGTGCCTCTGTTCTGCCCACTCTGCTGCCTGCTGCTCTCCACTCTCACCTGCTTTGCATGTCTCTGCCTGCACCCCCCTCCTTTTCCAGCAGATCACTAGCAGAGCTTTAGCTTTTACCTCAGCTAACTTAAGAGCTTTTGTCTTCTCAGGTAACTCAAAAGAGTTTACACCCTGGATTTTGTGAACAGTTTGTTAAATTCCTGAGTTTCTGCAATTCCCATTAAACACAGCCATATGTCTTTCGATTGTGCCACATCCCCTGGAGAGGGAAAGCTGAATGTTTCCTGTGACAACCAACGGAAGGAAATCTGGTCCCATGCCGGTGCCCTCAGAGTCGATGGGATGGAGTCCTAAGAGAAAGGAAGAATACACACTAGTAAATTAATTTGTAGTGTACTGCCCACTTATTTTTAGGCCTGTTTGTATTTTTAAAGCACAATAACTAAAACTGAAGCTTTATATATTAGGTTTCCAAATAAAATAAGTTAGGCTTAAATCTGAGACTGGAGTTGAACAGTGCCAATGTCCTCGTAAATTTTATACAATGGAAATCTAAATACATGCATTTTGCACTTCGTTAATTGTAGAATGCGCTTACCATTTTCACTATTCCTTTAGACACTTTAAAAATACATATTCCTGGGCCTTACCTCAGGCCTCCTGAATTAGAATCACTGGAGTGGTACCCAGAAAGCTGTCCCTTTAAAGAAATCTCAGGAAATTTCTGATGATTTCACATAGCTAGGGAACCAGTAGGATGAAATGTTGGTTGGTAAGTGATCCATTTAAATATCAAAACAATTTTCTAAAATATGTGTAACACTTAAAGAAAAAAATTAACATTTTTTTCTTCATCAGGAAACCAAGTTTCCCAAATGGGATACTCAAATTTATCCTCTGGGTCTTCCTTCTGGTTTTCGTGAAGAATTAAAAGCTACCAAAATTCTATTTTAGTCTTTGTTTTAAAAATATTTTTAGGACATCAGAAAGCAGTAGATGACTATTCATTCATCCAAGAATCCTCTTTGCCTACAAATATTTACATAGTCCTTTTGAGCATAAAGCGTTATCTTCACGTAAGTCATCCTGTTAAATCCAGCTCTATGAGTGCATGTGCATAGCTTGGGAAGGAAAATGGCTTTTATTCCATTTTTAATTTATCACCAATTCAATGATCCAACAGTGTCAAAGGCATTGTTAAAAGTCCTGCTTGTGTGTGGCATGGTTCTTTGTGCTCTTGAATGAAAGTGACAGGGCTTCCTACATACCTCTAAAATACTTTCCAAAACTTTTCATTTTTTTTATTCTGCAAGATGGAGAAAACGGTTGCCATTGCCCTTTTGGAAAAATGACCTGTATGGTTTGGAAACTTTATTGTTTTTTCTCTTACCCCTCATCTTGAGAATCTCTCCTGGTGAGCCCTAGGCCCCTTCCTTCCTCTTAGTCTCATACGAAGACTGTGAGTCCCCTGCGGCCATACCTGGGAGTTGTCCAGTCTCCCTCCCTGGGTAGCACCCTCTCTGGGACTCTAGCCCCTCTCCCTTCTTCTGTCCTCCCCTATGATCTCATGTTACCCTCTTTGAAGCCTTTCTCTTCCATGTTTCAATGTTGCACATCCGTAGTGGAGAAATCCAGTGCCTTCTAGGCAAGGCCCGTTCTCAGTGTGGGTCTTCCTGGCTTCTCAGTGTACTTCTTGTCTACTTTTCACCACGGTTCGGTCTACTCTTGATAGCGGCTTTGCCAAATCTCCCTCTCCCTTCCTGTCCCTTCAAACCAATGTTCTCCTAGAGAACCTGTCACCTGCTGTTCTGAGGAAACTAGAACCCACACATCTGCACCCCAGGCCCCTGCAGCAGATCTGTCTCTGTGTGCTCATTCTCCCATCACACCATCGGTCTCTGGAAAAAAATGGTCCCTTCCACGACTATATTCACTTTTCTCCATCCTCTCTCTCTTGTCCTTTTAGCCTGATTTCTTATGCTGGCATTTCCAACGTTAAAAGTTTGTTTTTCTCTGAAAAAAAAAAAAAAAAAAAGACTTTTTCTAGACCTTACCTCCCTGTCTTCTTTAACTCATTCAAAAAGACGTTGAGCGCCTGCTGTATGCCCAGTGCCGCTTCCTGTAATCAGCGGCCATTTTTCTGCTTTCCCTGAGCTGCTAGGCTCCTCAGCATCGTCTGCACTTCCACCTTGGTCCCTCTCATCTTGAATTTGTTGCCACTTTGCACCTATCCTCTAATTACCTTGAACCATTGGTCTTAAAGGTTATCAGTGAACCCTTCTCCTTTTTAATGGAAGCTATTTTTTTCCTGATTTTTCTAACTGAAAACATAGAATTTGAGGCAATTGTTACCTTTTGGTTTTTTTGGAATGTTTCTTTTTTATTATTATATTTTAAGTTCTGGCGTACACGTGCAGAACTTGCAGGTTTGTTACATAGGTATACACGTGCCATGGTGGTTTGCTGCACCCATCAACCCATCATCTACATTAGGTATTTCTCCTAATGCTGTCTCTCCACTAGCCCCTTGCCCCCCGACTGGCCCCAGTGTGTGATGTTCCCCTCCCTGTGTCCACGTGTTCTCATTGTTGAACTCCTACTTATGAGTGGGAACTTGCGGTGTTTCGTTTTCTGTTCTGTTAGTTTGCTGAGAATTATGGTTTCCAGCTTCATCCATGTCCCTGCAAAGGATATGAATTCATCCTTTTTTATGGTTGCATAGTATTACACGGTGTATATGTGCCACATTTTCTTTATCCAATCTATCAATGATGGGAATTTGGGTTGGTTCCAAGTCTTTGCTATTGTAAATAGTGCTGCAATAAACATACATGTGCATGTGTCTTTATAGTAGAATGATTTATAATCCTTTGGGTATATAACCCAGCAATGGGATTGCTGGGTCAAATGGTAAGCCTGGTTCTAGATCCTTGAGGAATCACCACACTGTCTTCCACAATGGTTGAACTAATTTACACTCCCACTAACAGTGTAAAAGCATTCCTATTTCTCCACATCCTCTCCAGCGTCTGTTGTTGCCTGACTTTTTTTTTTTTTGGCGGGGGGGATGGAGTCTCGCTCTGTCACCCAGGCTGGAGTGCAGTGGCTTGATCTTGGCTCACTGTAACCTCCATCTCCCAGGTTCAAGCTATTCTCCTGACTCAGCCTCCTGAATAGCTGGGACTACGGGTGCCTGCCACCACACCCAGCAATTTTTTTTTTTAGTAGGGCTGGGGTTTCACCATGTTGGCCAGGCTAGTCTCGAACTTCTGACCTCAGGTGATCTGCCCACCTTGGCCTCCCAAAGTGCTCGGATTACAGGCGTGAGTCACCGAGCCCGGCCTGTTACTTATTTCTGGACAGTGCCATCAATAATATCTCACAATTATGTGTTCTTCCACTTTCTCCTGTTATTTCCTGGGTTTGTGGCTGGATTTTTCTTTTCCACCACCTGCCTCCTGAAATAGATAACATTTCCTGAGTCTGAGCTCTCTGCCCCTCCCATTAGACACTCTCTCTCTCTTTTACAATATCAACTTTTATTTTAGATTCGGGGGTACATATCAGGTTTGTTACCTGGTTATACTGTGGGAGGCTGAGGTTTGGGGTATGACTGATCCCGTTACCCAGGAAGTGAGCATAGTGTCCAACAATTAGTTTCTCAACATTTCCCCCTCCTCCCAGCTCTAGTAGGCCCAGTGTTTACTGTTGTCATCTTTATGTCCATGAGTACACAATGTTTAGCTCCCACTTACAGGGAGAACATGCAGTATTTGGGTTTCTGTTCTTTTGTTAATTCACTTAGAATAATGGCCTCCAGCTGCATCCATGTTGCAGCAAACGACACGATTTGTTCTTTTTTATGGCTGCGTGACACTCTTTTCTTCTTAATCTGCATCTCTTCTCAAATCACTCTGTTAGCTGTTGTGCAGGTAGATCATCTTTATATTTTCATTTTTAATGATCTCTCCATGGCTTAATTTCTTTGTATCACGAATTGCTTATATTGGCAGCTGAGCAAGCCACCTTCACAGCTTATTCAGCATCTCTACAACACAGATTTATTTACTACAGTCTTTCCTAAAATCCATACACACATACACCCAGCACAGACACATTCCTTTTTCTTTTAATCTCCAAGGCATTACTGTTCCCTTGCCTTATAAAAATAAGTTCTCTTCTCTGTCCAGTCAGGTGAGACGTCTGGTCCAATGTCCCGCATATCCCATGCAGACCTCAGCATCCAAGTCCACTGTCATGTGCGGAGACTCATGCAGACATCTCATATGCACCATTACAAGGCCTTTTCTCCCCTACATCCTATCAGGACGGCTTTTCATGATCACCCTGCCTCAACACTCTCAGCTGTGGACTGAGGGTCACCACTTTTGGGCAGATGTTAATTGTGTGTCCAAGATAGGAAAATTTAGACTCCACGAAGAAACTGAAGCTCAAGGGGGAGAATTAAGTTCTCAGAGAAGCACCTCTTCATCCTTTCCCTTGTCACGTGCTACCTCCTGTAAGTGCACATGCCCTGGTCAAGCTGTCTAAATATGTTCTGTGCTACAGGCTTTCGGATGTTTTTCTGTGTGTACAAACCCCCTTATCTTGAAAGTTTTCCTGTCAAAACTCTACCCAGCTCTTCAGAATCCAACACAAATCACCTTTCTCTGTCATGTCTTTTATTGTCTTCCCATACCTGATAGGAACAGAATCATCCATCTGTGCTCTTGTACATTTGTAACTCTAGTACAAACCCATTTTTCTCCTACAACTTAAAAGCAATATGTAATAAGTGTTTTGTTTTACATTGCTTTTTGGAATTGGTGCAGACTCCATGCTACCTAATTTTATTAAGAATTCACTACTACTTAAAAGTGTTCTCTTTTTTTTATCACTTAAGGTCAAATACACTTTTTCTTTTCTTTTTTTTCCCCTTTCTTTTTTTTTTTTTTTTTTTTTTTTTTTGAGACAGAGTCTTGCTCTGTTGCCCAGGCTGGAGTGCAGTGGCGTGATCTTGGCTGACTGCAACCTCTGCCTCCGAGGCCCAAGCAATTCTCATGCCTCAGCCTCCTGAGTAGCTGGGATTACAGGCTTGAACTACCACCTGTAATATTTTTAGTAGAGATGGGTTTTCACCATGTTAGCCAGCTTGGTCTCGAATTCCTGACCTGAAGTGATCTGCCCACCTCAGCATCCCAAAGTGCTGGGATTACAGGTGTGAGCCACCGTGTCTGGCCCAAATACACTTTTAAAATGTGATGTGTCCCCCACTTCTCGAACCTCTTTTCCTTTAATGTTTAGTCTGAGCATTGCTTCCAGATACCTTTTACATAAAGACCATCTCTATCACTTCAGTCTTCCACTCAAAGCATTTTAATAACTCTGCATTGCTCTTGGGATAAAGTACAGGAAGATATAGTTAAAATGTAAAAGAATTGTGTCTAAAGGAAAATTAGAATTCTACAGTAATAGAATTTTGTATTGCCTCTGTACAGCTTAGGCTCAAACATTCTGATGCTTTACCATTCTAGGTTAACATTAAAAATAACTCTCAACTCATCCATACTGTGTTGGCTTCTGTAGAGCAGAATTCTAATTTATCACATCAGAGTGTGACTGCAGAAGCTTATGTTTGTTGGTGATTAGGATGTGTTTTCTTGTCCAGTCTTGCTCATTAGAAAGACAGTTTGGGGTCTTATTCAGAGAACAAACCAGTAGTTCTAGAGATAATAGGATTAGGAGAAATGCCATATTCCACTTTACACCGCACTAAGAAACTGAAAGGGACATTAATTTCTTTAAAGGGCATCCCTGCCTGC